>NC_000010.11:15313030-15464545 GCF_000001405.40 Homo sapiens
TCTTGATGAAGCAAGCAGACCCCTGATTTCCATTCTGGCCTGGGCTCTGCATCTCCCTGTGTGCCAGGAACAAAGCACTGGCCCAGAAACCAGCTCCAGAGACACGTAGAGTCCCAGGGCACTGGATGGGAGCACGGTTCCTCCTCCGTGGAAACACACTGGGAATTCCTACTCTGACCCACTGCTTTGCAGCAGTAAACCTCCTGTTCCAGGACCCAGCAGCCTCAGGAGGAAAAACTCCAGCACTGGTGGCTGAAATGCTTTCAGGGTTTGCCACTCACTTTCCAGCCCTGGGCAGCCAGCCCATTCCATGCCTGTGTGGTTCTGGATATTAGAAAATCCTTTCTTTCCTTGAGCTAAAATTTTCCCTCTTGGAACTTCTCTGTCCTCGTGGTCTTAACTCTGGCACCAAGGGTCCAAGATTAACACTTAATCTTCCTCCTAAAGAACCAGCCTAGAAAGAAATTGAAGATGAAAATATATAAACCGTGGACTGCCTTTAAAGAGATACTGTAACAAGTCAGCTTTCTTACAATAAAGGAACTGACCACTTAGAAAATGCAGGAGAGTTCTGAGTACCGGTAGGTTTGTAACTCGTGAGTTTTTGCAGATTTCCAAGTCTTTCATAAGAAATCACATCCAAACGCCAAGGAAAATGAAGGTGCATACATAAACATCCCGAGGGTGAAGGAAAACAGCTTCCCACGGTGAATAATGCCATTCACGGTTCACATTGTCATCCTTAATTTGGAAGAAATAAAATATGTTTAATGGAAACTGCTTTAAGGTTTGCAAGAGTGTGTGATCAGAGAAAAGCAAGCCTCCACCTTCCCCAACCGAGGGTTGATCTGTTTCCTGCCAGGACAGAAGAGAACTTTGTGTGAATCCACACGCTCTGTACAAGGCAGAATCACTCCCCACTTCCTCGATCTGCATAGTGCAAGGCAACGACGGGATCTGGCCTCTCCTCCTGTTATCTTTCCTGAAGCCTTTTCTGTGTCGCTGGCAGATATTTCCTGTTGACACTGTGCCTCCCCAATCAGTTTCCACTGCCAGAACCCCATAATGTGAAGCGTGACACGCCAAGCGTCTGGTCATGCGGTATCTGGTAGGATAAACCGTCACCCTACAACTGGGGAAGGATTTCAAAACAGGAGGCACGTCGTGTGTTATTATAACAAAGGGCTGAATGCACATCACCATTGCCACTGAGATCTTAACATTCCTAGCAAAAAAGAAAAAAAAAAGAAAGAAATCTCCATGTGGCATGTTTTAGAGCTCTTATTTAAGTGGACTGACCAAATATCCAATTCTCAAACACAGTAGACCCCAGGCACTTGCAGAGTTTAACTTTGGCTGTTTTATCTATTTCTATGTCTTTTTGAGGCTGGCCATACGGGGAAGACTGTCATTTGCCTAGGGTGTGAATCAAGTCCATTGTATAAGGAACATGGGTTACCGGGTCCATCTGGCCAACTGTCCAATACCCCTGGCTTGACCTAAAATTGGGACCGAGGTGTTCTCGTTGAAGCAATCAGACCTGATTTCCATTTTGGCCTGGGCTCTGCATTTCCCTGTGTGACAGGAACAAATAATGGAATGCTGCAGTTTTCTGCATCCTATTATTTCGGGGGAAAGAGTTCAAGGGCCCCAGCACTCTTCTGCTTTGCTGGTGCAGATCAAGGCATTTCATCCCAACTCCAAAGACGCCAACCACGAAATGGCACAGGTTCCTGGCGTGCCCAGGTGGGAAGTTGGGGAGTATCCGCTGCCACATTCCTGTCACTTCTCACGAGCCCAGGAATGACTTCCAAGCCAGCACCCCTGCCACCTCGGCCTGGCCTGCAGCCGCGGGGAGGAGGCTGGTTGGCGCTGTCTGGGCCCTGTCTCTCCGGTTCCTCCGGGATGGGTGGCTGAGTTTCAGCTGAGCCTAGCCTTTCCTCATATCAGAATGGTACGATCTCAGACTCCAGTTTGGAATTCGAGAAGAGGTCACCCTCAGGCCTTTTTATTATTTTTTAAAACCAACCTGGTTGAGGTATAATTTAGATATAATAAAGTCCATCCATTTTAATGAAGTGTACAGTTTAATGAAGTTGGACACACGTATACACCTGTGTAATTCCTACCACAATGAGGACAGACAGACAACATTTCCGCCTGTCCTTGGATCCATCTAATATAGGAAGGCAGAGAGTGGTTCCACTCTGGAGCCAAGCTGCTCTGTCATGTCCTGGCTGTGATGGGCGCAAGCTGTCTCATCTTCCTTTGTCTCGGTTTCTCCCATCTGCAAAACGGGTCAAGTATTAACATCGAAAACACCGTACTTTGAGTGTTAGTTGTGTGGTTTGATATGTGTAGAACATTCACATCTGTGCAGGCCCGTGGCTAGCCTTTCACGGTGTGGGCTTTGTTATCATCACTATTATTATGAGAAATGGCTAAGCTTCCTTCTCAATGACAATGTCTCTACTGCAGAGCGTGCCTGTGACAGCACCCTGGAGAAATCACCTTTTAATACCACATTATCCCCTTATTCTAACAGACTTAGCACTTGTATCTGGGCAAATATTTGTTCACAAAGGTCTCAGCAAATCTCTTCAACCCAAAGAATTTACTCTATTCTCACTAATCGAGATCACAGAGACCTTGATCATGCTAGAAAGCCATCGCCTTACCTCCCTGGGATTCACCTGGTGTCCCCCCAACTCCCTAGTCCCAAGCTCAGGCCTTAAGAAGCTCTGATGTCCTTTTTATTGGAGACAAGGAGCGGCTGGAGAGGTGTTTGATTTTTACCTCTTTCCCCTTGCCCTCGCCCCCTGACTATCAATATAAGGTAGAAAATACAGAAAAAATATAAAGAAACAGAAAGAAAAATATAATCCCACATACACAACCCCAGCTCCCAGAAGCCACTAAACCTAACATCTTAGTATATTTCCCCCAGGTGTGTTTTTTTCTGCAATTTTTCTTTACACAGCAGGAAGGTTATGTTACATGTACATTTTTACAGTTTTAACTTCACTTTAGCACATAATTATTTTCCTTCGTCACTAAACCTCACGTTACGGATAACTTACCCTTTCATCTTACAGATAGGTCATATAATTATTCCTTATTTTGAACTCACAGGTTGTTTCTAGGTTTTCATTACTCTAAGTTTACAACAAGCACCCTTGTGCACGATGGTTTATCTTATTTGAATGACTGGGATTTCTGGGTTTGCTGAGCAGCTGTATTTTCTGTTTAGAGTGTCAGGCTGCCTCTGGAATGCTTGAGAAGCACCAGGGGTGGTGCCCCAGGAGGGCAGCGCGTGGCCTCCTTCCCTCACCAGGCCATTCCTGCTGCGTGTGTTTGTTCTGGGGCGTCCCGCAAGGTAAAGTCAACAACTGTCAGGTGACGGGCTTCGTGAGACCCTGCTTGTAGGAGAGCATTCCTCGGGGTGAGTCCATGTGTCTGGCTACCCTGGTTCTAAGAAACCATTCCAGTCTGCAGGCTCCAGACCTTCCAAGATGCTGACTTAGTGATGATAGAATGGACAGGACACCTCCAACCAATAACTTTTGTGCTTGCCTTTCAATAAGCAGGGAAGCCCAGGTGGAATCCCAGAAAGCAGCTGTTTCTGATCTCAAAGGTGAGATGCCAGGTTCTTACCTGACTGGCAGAAATCCAAACGTTGGATAATTTACTGTGTTGGCATAACTATGGCAAAACAGGCATTCAACGTTCACTCCCGGTAGGAATACAAGTGTGAATGGCCCCTCCGCAGGGATATCTGGCAACAACCATCACCAAAGTCTCCAACGCACATGTGCTTTGACAAGCAGTTTTACTTTAAAAGATTTATTCCAAGACAGACTCACGCATTCTCCAGCACAATGTAAAAGAGAAGACAGTTCTGCCCATCTGCAGCCCCACAGTGGGTCCGGGTGATGCAAGGACTGAAGAGTTCACCAGCACTGGAGCTGCCCCTGCTCTGTCTAGCAGGAGAGCTCCCAGACAGATCTCCTCTGGGAGAAAAAAAAAAAAAATCACAAGGTGGCAACAGTTGTATAGGAAAAAAATATAGGCCTTTCCCAGTCACGGAAACAGGACACAGGGAGGGGCCACCAGACAAAGAAAAGAGATGCAGAAAGAAAGGCGTATGTTGGGAGTGGGATGTGCAGACACTGAGGAAAGGCAAGGCCAGGAAGTCATGACGGGAGAGAGACAGGGGTCGCATTCAGCTTTAGAAACTTGAATGCCACAGATAAGGGCTGGGTTTATCCTGCAGGCCAGGGGTCACTAACACGAAGCATAAAACTACTTATAAACAGTGCTATCTAAAAATGAAGTCTGGTTGCGCTCATATTTTATTTTTTTTAATTTTAATTTTATTTATTCAAGATGGAGACTTGCTCTGTTGCCCAGACTGGAGTGTAGTGGTACGATCTCAGCTTCTACGACCTCCACTTCCCAGGTTCAAGCGACTCTCCTGCCTCAGCCTCCCTACTAGCTGGGATTACAGGCATGCGCCACCACGCCTGGCTAATTTTTGTATGTTTAGTAGAGACGTGGTTTCACCATATTGGCCAGGCTGGTCTCAAACTCCTGACCTTGTGATCTGCCTGCCTCAGCCTCCCAAAATGCTGGGATTACAGGCGTGAGCCACCATGCCCAGCCTGCACTGATATTTTATACAGATACATCTGGCATCATGTAATTCATAAATATATACCCACTAGGGTCCATGCTCAATTTTATTTATTATTATTTATTCAGGCACTAATTTACTTTTTGAGACAGGGTCTTGCTCTGTTGCCCAGGCTGGAGTGCAGTGGCACGATCATGGCTTACTGCAGCCTCCATCTCCTGGGCTCAACCAATTCTCCTGCCTCAGCCTCCTGAGTAGCTGGGACTACAGGCATGTGCTACCACACCTGGCTAATTTTTAAAACATTCTTTTGCAGAGATGGGGTCTCACTATGTTGCCCAGGTTGGTCTTGAACTCTTGGGCTCAAGTGATCCTCCCGCCTGGCTTCCCAAAGTGCTAGGATTACAGGGGTGACCCATAGCACCTGGCCTCACACTCAGTTTTATCACTAGAGGTATGCAATCACAAAATTCTGGAGACACATGGTCTTGGCAATAAAGAGAGCTGAAATGTGACCAGCAGGAGAGGGGTGTGATGAGATACGGTGTAAGGAAGAATAGCAGGAGCCGGAAATTTTTCAGGAGCCAGAGATTCTTCCTCAATTCCCAGAGCCAGTGAATCCGGAGAAAGAGATTCGGGAATCCTCCCAGGTGGAGCTGAAGTTCTGCTTGGTCCTTCCCGGAAGGGAAAAGCTACTGAGCTCAGTGATCAGTCCCAGTGCTGCACCAAGAAGGGGTCACGAAGCTGGTTACTTATCTGCGTGCGGTAAGTCTATACAGAAAAAGGCAATCAACTTTGGCCTCTTGCAGAGAAATGCATTTGCCTTCCTCCAAGTAGTCTGTGTCCTCTAAGATGCTCCCTTTTGGATCCCGGGTGACAGAAATCTTGGGCCAAATCCCCTACCAAATGCCGGAGCTGGTTCCCATCAGTACGTAGGTCAGTTGTTTTTAAGAGTTGGAGGTGTGTGTCATCTCATGCTTTCTCTGTTAGAGTGTGTTTAATTCTATTTCCTCCCTTTCAAGTGTGTTTAATATTTTAATTCTCATCCCCTCCCTTTAAGACCTTATAGGAGTCTAGATGTGGGGCTGTCAATGGAGCACAGCACCCTAGCCTGGATACTGGAGATGGGGAGACCCTCACTATTTTGGGATCATACCTGTGCCTCTCTCACTACAGCAGAAGATGAGGCAGTTCCATGCTGTTACTGGCAAAGGTGTGACATCCTGATCCTTAGAGTCACAAGAGGGAAACTCAGGCCTGCTCATAGTTCCAAGAGGGTTTATAAACACTTGAGAGGGGACCAAAGGAGGAGAAGAACATCAAGAAGACCACAAAGTCACCAGTGTGACATCCACTGCCTTCCATACTTTGGTCTACAGGAGGCCATCAATGTGCTCAGAGAATAACCAGGAATGTTGAGTTGCAGGTGACACGTCTGGAGGGATAAAGGCTGACTCCACAGGGTGGAAAGGAGACATGGCACATATGTCCATTTCTACAGCATGCCTGTGGAGGTGACGGTCTTTCAACTGACTCATGGGATGTCTACCTCTTTTTCCATCAGTTGTTCATTCCAGCAGAAAAGTCCACGTTCACCAGAGAAGAAAAATGATACGTCTCCTTCCCCTCCCCCAATTACTAAGTGCCCAGGTGGGAGCTAAGCTATGAGGACACAAAGGCATAAAAAAGATACAATGGACTTTGGGGACTCAGAGGGAAGGATGGGATGGGGGTGAGGGATAAAAGAAAGAACAATAGTCCAGGGATTTTTTTTATTTTTATTTTTTGACATGGAGTCTCACCCTATTGTGCAGGCTGGAGTGCAGTGGCACGATCTTGGCTCACTGCAACCTCCACATCCCAGGTTCAAGTGATTCTCATGTCTCAACCTCCTGAGTAGCTAGAATTATAGGCATGCACAACCACAGCCAGCTAATTTTTGTCTATTTTGTAGAGACGGGGTTTCACCATGTTGGCCAGGCTGGTCTCGAACTCCTGACCTCAGGTGGTCTGCCCACCTTGGCCTCCCAAAGTGCTGGGATTACAGGCATGAGCCACCCCGCCTGGTCTGTCCAGGGATTTTGAACCTAGACCTTCTCAAAAGTCGGGTGGAGGTAGAGGAACCAACAAAAACAGACATAATCCCTTCATCCAAGAACTCAAGGAAGGGACAGAACCCATATAAAAGGTTTTGTAAAACTCTCCTCCATCTGTAACTCTTTTAATGAGAACATCAGGTAAAAACATTTATCTATAATATAAAATATTCAAAAATTAGATTGACTTTTTAAACTTTTATTTCTTTCCAATTGTTATTTTAGCTTCAGGGGTTTGTGACATGAGTAAACTGCATGTTACATGAGTAAACTGCATGTCCTGAGAATTTAGTATGCAGGTTATTTTGTCACCCAGGTAATGAACATAGTCCCCAAGAGGTAGTATTTCTATCCTCACCCTCCTCCCACCCTCCACTCTCAAGTAGGCCCCGGTGTCTCTTCCCTTCTTTGTGTCCATGTATACTCAGTGTTTAGCTCCCACTTATAAGTGAGAACGTGGTATTCAGTTTCCTGTTCCTGCATTAATTCACTTAGGATAATGGCCTCCAGTTGATCCATGTTGCTGCAAAGCACATGATTTCATTCTTTTTAACGGCTGCATAGTATTCCATGGCATATATGTACCACACTGTCTTCTTCCAGTCCACCATTTGATGGGCTTCTAGGTTGATTTCACATTTTTGCTATTGTGAATAGTGCTGCGATAAACATATGCGTACATGTCTCTTTATGGCAGAACGATTTATATTCCTTTAGGTATAAATGTAATGGGATTGCCAGGTCGAATGGCAGTTCTGTTTTAAGTTCTTTGAGAAATTTCCAAATTGCTTTCCAATAGTGGCTGAACTAACTTACATTCCCACCAGCAGTGTATAAGTGTTCCTTTTTCTCCACAACCTCACCAGCATGTTATTTTTTGACTTTTTAATAATAGCCATTCTGACTGGTATGAGATGGTATCTCATTGTGGTTTTGATCTGCATTTCTCTAATGATAAGCATTTTCTTCCTGTTTGTTGGCCATGTGTATGTCTTCTTTTGAGAAGTGAGATTGGCCATTTTAGACCACACAGTAAGTTTGCACATAATAACTTTCATCTAATTCTAACTTAACAATCGTACTAACATTGTGTAGTAGAAAGACTGAAAAATTATCAATGAAAAGTATGAAAGGTTTTAAGCAATGCAGACAACTTTCACTCTGTCTAACACAAATTCTGCCTGGGTACTGTAACTGAAGAGAGTTTAATGGGGATGTAACACGGGTGAATGCTGTGTTGACCTTGGCATTCAAAGCCAGGATCACTGTCAAGTTTATGTTGGCTTATTTGACATCTGGTCATTTGGGGCCTGATTGAAGAGAGCCACCTAGAAGAATATCCTTATATGTTCAAGTTTGCTACTGGGGAAAGGTAGTCAAGATAATACGGCATATGTTTTTTGGAATATTCAAAGCACAAATACTAGATGCTTTAAATAAGAGAGAAGATGGTGCATATGAATTCCCTGCAGGAGAATTTCTGTTTAGGTAAGCGCAAGTTAACTGGAAAGTCCAGTAGACCCTGGGCCTTGATTTCCTGAAAGTGAACCCCAATTTATGTTCAGGGGTCTTGAGAAACAAGCTGTGTTCTCGTGTGGGCTGTCTGCCCTCTCCCATTCCTAGAAGGATACCTCTCTGAAATACTTACAAACACTTAACAATGAGAAGTCCACAGTGTCAAAACACTTCATGTCTCAGAAGCCACAAAACAGATTTTTTAAAAGCTTTTTTTTACAACTAAAACTATGCCCTGGTTTCACAGTCAAATAGTGGATTTCCAATTTTGTAACACTTTCACTAAAATAAAAACTTTTTTGGCAAACACCAACCACAAAGAAAAACCAAAAGACAAACTTTGAGTTTTTCTGAGTCTAGAATTTTGATATATGCAAATACTGGCATTCCTGGTCAGAAGCCTGAACCCTTTAATGAAAACAGAAAAGAAAGCTGAGGCTTCCAAACCAAAATGGTTTGAGCATTAAGTCAAAAAGAAAGACTGTGTTGCCTGTATTTCATATCATTACAAGCTCATAAAACTAGCCAGTCTCAGCCGCTCTGTAAGATAAAATGCTTAAGATAGAAATTCACCTAATAGTGGTTTCCAACTCTTTAGTTAAGCAAGGAACACACACAGCACTGGTTTTTATCTTATAATATTTGTCATGTAGTTGAGAAACAAATAGTAGATACTGTTGCTGACTTTGAGCCAAGACAGCCACATATGATTATGTGCCATGGTGCTACATTCTGCAGGAAATAAAATTCTAATGGTTCTAATTCCTTTCACATGAACTTGCTCACTGTGTCTCCATGCTCTGGTGGTAACCTCAGGCCCGATACAAGCATGGGTTATTATATCTTTTAAACCCTTTGCAGAGATTAGAAGGCTGCAGAAAAATACCATTGGGGGTTGAAAACAGCTTTCTGAAATTGTTCTAAATGGACAAATAATGCGTTGCTTTCTTTGACAGCTGTTCAATAACTGAATACAGCTGGAGGGGCCGTCGGCTGCCAAGGGATTTCTACTTGGTTCATGACCAGGTTTTCTTTTCCAGAATGCTTTCCAACACTCGAACTAGTCTTATTTATGTTAAGTGTATTTTTAAAAGAGGAATTTATTTTAATTATTTTCCATCCTGCTCCATCCATGTTACATAAAATAGTCTGCAGATTTAAAGGAATTGTCTTAAGGGTTAGCATTTCCCTCACCTGAACTGTAGCAGCAGCTAGGTGGAGTTAGGGCTGATTATCTCTAAGGTACCCCCAAAAGGACACTGCATGCATTCAGCTGCACTGATCTCCAGCTGGTACTATCAGTCATTGTTCCCAAACCCATTTAATAGTAACTGTTCATGTTTCAAGCCGACAGCCCGAAGGAAGACAGGGTTCTTCCAGACATAGCAAGGAAGCTGTCCACCAAGTAGCCCTCCAGAGTGGGGTCATTTTGGTAAATTCACCTCAGTGTTTGGGGTCTGGTCCTTAGCCCTGATGGAGATCTTGCCCCCAGAATGGACTTATCTTCATCAGGCATCAGAGACTGATCGATGCAAACAAATGACCAAGGTCTTCATTTGCAATAAAAAGTACACCTTTTTTTTGGCTGGGGGCAGTGACTCATGTCTGTAATCCCAGCACTTTGGGAGGCCCAGGTGGGTGGATCCCTTGAGGCCAGGAGTTCGAGACCAGCCTGGCCAACATGGCGAAACCCTGTCTCTACTAAATATACAAAAATTAGACGGGCGTGGTGGTGCACGCCTATAATCCCAGCTACTAGGGAGGCTGAGGCATGAGAATTGCTTGAATTTGGGAAGGGGAGGTTGTGGTGGGCTGACATCACACCGCTGCACTCCAGTCTGGGCAACAGAGCAAGACTGTCTCAAAAAAAAAAAAAAAAATTAAAACTTAAATTACAGGGCCGGGTGTGGTGGCTCATGCCTGTAATCCCAGCACTTTGGGAGGTTGAGGCAGGTGGATCAGTAGGTCAGGAGTTCGAGACCAGCCTGGCCAGCATGGTGAAACCCCGCCTCTACTAAAAATACAAAAATTAGCTTGGTGTGGTGGCACGCATCTGTAATCCCAGCTACTTGGGAAGCTGAGACAGGAGAATTGCTTGAACCCGGGAGGCAGGGGTTGCAGTGAGCAGAGATCACGCCATTGCACTCCAGCCTGGGCGACAAGAGCAAGACTCTGTCTCAAAAATAAATACATACATAAATAAAATAAAAAAACAAAATAAAGTACACCTCTTTTTAAGATGGCAATGGTATCATCATACGATCAGTACGTTCTCTCCCCTGCAGGCAGATCTATTCAACAAGCCAATTTATAATCAGAAATGGACTTGGTGGGCATATAGAATTAGAAAAAGGGGAGCTAATTATAGGATTCAAAACATTTTAATGGCATCAGGCTAAAACAGCCCAATGCATACACTTCCACAATCAGAACAGTTTTGTGAAAAGGACGTGGTATTTTATACCCTCTATGTTAGGATTTTACTTAAAGTGAGAAGCAATAAGAGTTGGAAGGAAGGAACACGGTATTAGGATTGCAGTGCCATACAGTGCCTAGTCTACTTTCAACAATTAAAAAAAAAAAATCCTTAAACACAGTGCAGTTTAAAAGCCATAGCACCTACTTGCCAGGAAAGACTTCCACTTTCAGTGCCACTAAAAATATAACAGTGAAAAAGTCCACATAGAGCATAAACCATTTCAAAATGGAGCATCAAAAATGGAAACGATGCTGGTTAGCCCATTTGCCAGCCCTGCAATCACGCAACTTTTAGCTCTAATTCCTGAAATTCATAAATAGTTGGCAAGCAAAGTGGCTCTTAGCAAGATAAATCTGAGCCTTAACCTCCACCCCAGCACGTGTAAAATTTAGGATGGAAATTAACATTCAGAATGCCTGGTTCTGATTAATGGAGAATTTAACACCAAGACATCTACTTGCTGCATGCGCAACTGAGACCCAACTTCCTTCCTTTCTCCGTCTTTTCCTAAAGGAAGACGGGGTGATTCAAGCAGAGAAGTCCACGCTCAGCAGGGTTTGCTTGGGGTAGATGCCCCAGGCAATGCAGGTCCTTCCCCCATCCTCAAATGACACACTCTTCAGGAGCTCCCTCCCGTTCTTTCTTTGGAGGAAACATTCTTTATGTACTGTAACCAAATATATTCTATCCCCATAACGTATCGTGAATATTCCAAATTTTTATCATCTTCTCCAGGCAATCAGCTACCTTTAGACTATACTAAAGTATTTTTTTGTGGCATCAGCTCCAGCCAACCTGCAGCCCCGTGCGCTAGCTGGCCATCCTGCACAGTCGGCTGAGATTTACTGTTGGTTTTCAGTGGTGGCTTCACTCACACTGCACACGTCTAACCAAGGAATGTTTAGAGGTTTCCTACTGACAATCTTAAAATCATCTTAACCACCAGCGTGGATTAAACAGCCTTAGTTTCAAGAGTGAGGGGGAAAAAAAAAAGTCCACAAAAAAAAGGACAAAAAAACCAAACCAACTCCACCATCAATATCTTTGTTGTCATGATAGAAACCACAACTTAGTCACGGATTCAGTAACATATCACAGGCAGACCAACTTGTACTAAATAAGGACTTTTACACTTCCAATCACTGAGTAGAAACATGTGCAGTGACTCGTTACAGCCAGCACTTGCACTCCGCATCTGAGGATTCCCAACAAAATGGAAAAGGCAAGGTGAGTGACAAGACTTGCGAAAAGCTAGAGGCACATCACGTGTGTCTAATGATAAATATCTAATGGGAATAAACTGGCTAATAATGAGATGAGCTCCCCACTCCTTTCCTCCTTCCCTGACAGCCAGGGGAGTTCTATGTCCTCTTTGGTGCAAAATGTATGCAGAAAACACTCTACAATTTCCAGCTGTTCCAGCTGTTCTTTCTGAAGCAGACAGAGAACTTTTAAGGACAGTTGAAGGCCCGGGGCTCACACCTGTAATTCCAGCACTTTGGCAGGCCGAGGTGGGCAGAACACTTGAGCCCAGGAGTTCGAGACCAAGCTCGAGATCAGCCTAGGCAACAAGGCAAAACCTCGTCTCTACGAAAAATACAAAAATTAGCCAGGTGTGGTAGCCCTAGTCTGTAGTCCCAGCTGCTTGGGAGGCTGAGGTGGGAGGATCACTTGAGTCCAGGCAGCTGAGTCTGCGGTGAGCTACGATGGAGCCACCGTACTCCAGCTTGAGCGACAGAGTGATACTCCATCTCTAAAAAACAAAACAAAAAAACTCCATCTTTTCTTTGCTTCTTTTCCAGGCCTTTCTGTGGACCCCAGATACTTCTAGCTTATGTCAGGGGCTTTCCATTATGCTGGAACTCACTTCCTGAAAGCTTACTGCGTTCCATGGGCCCCACGGAGTAGAATCAAGCTTTGATATTGGCTAAATCCTGGCATGGACATCCCATTTGTCTTATCTCCATGTTACACGCTCATCTTCGCCCACGGTCGTGCTTGGCTTCCACGTCCAATTGGACCAGGAAGTGAATGACGGGACATTGAGTGTGAATGCGGTAGGGAAGTGCTGTTTCACTCCGACCTGGGTGAAGATGAGTCATAGGAAGTAAAAAGAAAGGGCTCTGCCAAGTCCATCATCCTGTCCTCTCGCATTCATTTTAAACAATTCAGACTCTTACTTGTAAACCACATTTCTGACTGACTTCAACCCAGTACAGATTAAACATCGCTACATCAAATCACATTGTAAATACCCCAAGGAGGTTCAAGATTAGGAAATCCATCACGAACTGTTCAGCAAAAGAAATATAATCATTTTCCTCTGCAGCTAATTACTCCCTAATTTATCTGTTGGGAAAGTTTAGATTCTTCTATTTTATGTTCCATTAATAACTCAAGAGTCACCAGAGGACTTATGTTCTCTGCCTCCCCTGTAACCCATCATTTCACTCAGTCATTTCACTCATAGATCGTTTGGTGAAGTAGGCTCAGGAAGTAATTAAAAATTAGTCTCAAACGGCTGCCTTTGGTGAGAGGAAGAGTTTCCCACAATCCCACAATTCTTTTTTTTTTGTTTTGAGACGGCATCTCGCTCTGTCATCCAGGCTGGAGTGCAGTGGCATGCTCCTGGCTTACTGCAACCTCCACCTCCTGGGTTCAAGCGATTCTCCTGTCTCAGCCTCCCAGGTAGCTGGGAATACAGGTGTGAGCCACTACTCCCGGCTAATTTCTGTATTTTTAGTAGAGATGGGGTTTTGCCATGTTGGTCAGGCGGTCTCGAACTCCTGACCTCAGGTGATCCACCTGCCTCGGCCTCCCAAAGTGCTGGGATTACAAGTGTGAGCCACCACACCCAGCTAGGTTTCTTACAATTCTTGTTGTTTGTTTTTTAAGATGGAGTCTCACTCTGTTACCCAGGATGGAGTGCAGTGGCATGATCTTGGCTCACTGCAGCCTCTGTCCCCCAGGTTCAAGCGATTCTGCTCCCTCAGCCTCCCAGGTAGCTGGGATTACAGGTGCCTGCCATCATACCCAGCTAATTTTTGTATTTTTAGTAGAGACAGGGTTTTGGCATGTTAGCCAGGCTGGTTTTGAACTCCTGACCTCAAGTGATCCACCCACCCTGGCTTCCTAAAGGGCTGGGATTACAGGCGTGGCCCACGACACTCCGGCTACAATTCTTGTTTTTGTTGGTCAGGAGGACACAGCCACATGTTGTGGTTTTTCATCACCAAAATGTGGCAATGAATGTACACAAATAGCCAACCATCTCTTTCCTCCCTCAAGTACTGATCAAAAATTAATGTGAGCTGTAAGTTTTAGATCAAGCATTCCCTTAAAAAAATTAACCAAGATGAAATCCCTAGGAGGCATGATAGTATGGTGGCCAACAGCTCTGGAGTCAGACTACCTGGGTTCAAATCCAATCCCAGCTCTACCCATTATCAGCTGTGTAAGCTTGAGCAAGAGCAAGCTGCCTACCCCCTAGGCCACTCACCTCATAGATTATTAGGGGAATAAACCAGTCAATGCTGAAAACTGTGCCTGGCATGTGCTCAGCGCTCACTAGATGCTACTGACTATTATTATTTCTATAAGAATGTCACAAATATGACTGGGCACGGTGGCTCACGTCCGTTATCTCAGCACTTTGGGAGGCCAAGGCAGGCAGATCGCTTGAGCCCAGTAGTTCAAGACCAGTGTGGGCAACAGGGTGAAACCCCATCTCTACAAAAAAACATAGAAATTAGCTGGGCGTGCTAGCACGTGCCTATAATCCCAGCTACTCAGGAGGCTGAGGCAGGAGGATCACCTGAGACCAGGAGGTCAAGGCTGCAGTGAGCCGTGATTGCACCACTGCAGTCTAGCCTGGGAGACAAAACAAGACTCTGTCTCTAAATAAATAAATAAATAAGGAATATGATAAATGCCACATGTTCTCACTCATAAATATAAGCTAAACATTGAGAACACATGGACATAAAGAAGGAAATAACAGACACATGGGCCTACTTGAGGGTGCAGGTTGGCAGGAAGGAGAGAATGGAAAAACTATGTATTTGGTACTATGCCTATTACCTGGGTGACAAAATTATCTGCACACTAAACCCTACCACCCCCGTGACACACAATTTACCCATATCACAAACCTGTACATGTATCCCCTGCACCTAAAATAAAAGTAAAAAAAAAAAAAAATCAGAGATTACCTAATTAGTAATCTCGGTCTAAAACTCTCAGTCCGAAAACTTGCCTCAGAACACTGTAGACAGAAATAATGATGTTGCCATTGCTTAAATCCACCAGGTACTTTTGCAGCCTTCAAAAAAACCCAAAAAACAAACCAAAAAAAAAAAAAACCTTTCTAAAGATAAATATTAAATGACTGTTTTTTAAAATTTTTTCCGAGATGGAGTTTCGCTCTTGTCGCCCAGGCTGGAGTGCAATGGTGCGATCTCAGCTCACTGCAACCTCCACCTCCTGGGTTCAAGAGATTCTCCTGCCTCAGCCTCTCCAGTAGCTGGGATCACAGGCGCCCACCACCAAGCCCAGCTAATTTTTTGTATTTTTAGTAGAGACGGGGTTTCACCATGTTGGGAAGGCTGGTCTTGGACTCCTGACGTCAGGTGATCCACCCGCCTCGGCCTCCCAAAGGTGCTGGGATTACAGGCATGAACCACGGCGCCTGGCCTGTTGTTGTTTTAAATCAGGAACTGAGCTATTTTGAACAAGATGCCTTGTAGTTTAACCCTGGATACAGAGCGACGCGGATACCTGGAGAACTGTGGGGGCAATATGCTGTTTCGGTAACTTGCTCTGCTCAGGCAACAGCATTAGCTCAAGCTCGGGTTTTCCTGAGCTGCAGTAGTGCAGGCATCTGGCTGCTTCTACTTGGTTGACATCACTACTCTTCTTTCATCAGCTTCCTTGATTTCCTCACCTATTTTTGGGTCCAATTGTCTAGCCTTGGGGATCTGGCAACCTCATGTTCACACAGCCCAGGCCCTGGCAACCATCCTTACCTCAAGTTTTAGGCCCCACCAAATACAGGTATCCCCAGGGCACCACCAGATTTGGCCAGCCTTCATCCTGCCTCTCACTATCAGTATGGACATCAGAAACCTCGGGTCCCTCATTGGGCTTCTTTTGACAGATATGTCATCCTGGCAAACATGCAAAACAACTCTGTAAAGAGGGAAAGTTACACCAAGAACCTGTGGCTCAGCGGTTAAGTAATCCACTTTCAGTCACGCCGCACATAAACAGCACTGCTGAAGCCACCGGGCAGTGGGTCACTGCTGCTGACACGGTGACAGGTGGGAGGACGCCCTCAGATGTGGTGATGTCGGGAAGAAGGTTGAGAATCAAAATATTAAAGAACTATGTGAACAGCCAAGTACTGCATATTTTTAGTAGATATTCATGTGTATGTTTAAAGGAGGTATACTAACTTGAACTACAAACTGAGAGCTTATAAATAAGAGTGCTGACCAACCAGCCGGATGCAACAGATGTAGGCTGCAGGGAAACCACTGTTGGCCTAGTCACCAATTTCCACTTGTGGTTCTATCGGCTCCAGAGGTGAAATTCAATTCAGAATGAGCTGGGCCACGCCAGGCTTGGTGGCGCACAATTGTAATCCCAGCACTTTGTGAGGCCAAGGCAGGAGGACTGCTTGAGTGCCCAGGAGTTTGAGACCAGCCTGGGTAACATGGTGAAAATTAGCCAGGCACACCTGTGCACATCTGGAGTCCCAGCTACTCAGGAGAATGAGGTAGGAGGATCCCATGAGCCCAGGAAGTTGAAGCTGCAGTGAAACGTGATCATGCCACTGCACTCCAGCCTGGACAGCAGGGCAATACCATCTCACTTAAAAAAAAAAAAAAAAAAGGATGAGCTGACTCAATAAGAACAAGTAACACAGCTTTTCAGGGAATGCTGGGGACAGGGATACATATGGCCCTAAGAAGCTACGGGAAGTCATTTTCAGATCACAAGGGGAGTCTGCCTTAGAATAAAATTGATACCATTTGAGAACTAAGTAGACAGAAAGAAACTGGAACCTTCAGTGACACTGCTAAGCCCTGCCAAGCTTTGTCTCAGGCCCGCACACTACCTTTGGCTTTTTAGTCTCATAAAGCAATGCTCCCTTTACTGTTTAAGCCACTTTTAAGTTGTTTCTGGTAAACTTAAAGAGGACTTTTGTGGAATGCATTTAAGATAAGCACTTTCTTGCATAGTATGGCACTGCAAATCACTGAATATTATAAGTTTAATTCTCCTGGTAAACATTTTCCCTGTGAGGGCTGGGCGTGGTGGCTCACACCTGTAATCCCAGCACTTTGGGAGACTGAGGCAGGTGGATCACTTGAAGTCAGGAGTTCGAGATCAGCCTGGCCTACATAGTGAAACTCCATCTCTACTAAAAATACAAAAATTAGCCTGGCATGGTGGTGCACGCCTGTAATCCCAGCTACTAGGGAAGAAGCAGGAGAATCGCCTGAACCCGGCAGGTGGAGGTTGCAGTGAGCCAAGATTGCACCACTGCACCCCAGCCTGGGCAACAGACCAAGACTTTTTCTGAATTATTTTACCACAGTGTCAAAATCATGATCCTCTCATATTTTTAAAGGTAAACAAATGCATTTCTTTGGGAGTCATGGAATAGGTAAATGCAAGTAGAAGAGAAAAAGCAGATGTGACAGTCAAGGGCAGAGAGATGACAGATACTCAGATTTCATAGATTAGCACAGAACTTCTTTCGGCCTTTATTAATAAGATTGCCCTAATAATAAGTGTTGTGCAACCAATTGAAAGCTGTTCAGTTTATTTCTGACACAAACGTAAATGTTACCCACAGGCAGCCTCTTACTCACCTTTTCTACTATGGCCTAAAAAGCACTCCTGAACACCCAGGCAGTTTTGAAGCCTCTGAAGCATATTTTTTTCTTCTTCTTCTTTTTTTTTTTTTTTTTTTTTTGAGATGGAGCCTCACTCTGTCACCCAGGCTGGAGTGCAGTGGCACAATCTTGGCTCACTGTAACCTCCACCTCCCAGGTTTGAGCAATTCTCCTGCCTCAGCCTCCCGAGTAGCTGGGATTAAAGTCATGTGCCACCACACCTGGCTAATTTTTTATTTTATTTTTTTTTTGAGATGGAGTCCTCACTGCATTGCCCAGGCTGGAGTGTAGTGGCATGATCTCGGCTCACTGCAACCTCTGCCTCCTGGGTTCAAGCAATTCTCCTGCCTCAGTCTCCCAAGTAGCTGGGATTACAGGCGCACGCCACCACGCCTGGCTAATTTTTGTATTTTTGGTAGAAACAGGGTTTCACTATGTTGGCCAGGCTGGTCTCAAACTCCTGACCTCAAGTGATCCACTGCCTTGGCCTCCCAAAGCGCTGGGATTACAGGTGTGAGCCACCGCACCCGGCCTACAGCATGTTTTCACACACATGCATGCATATATGACTCCCCTGAAACCTAGCAACATCCCTGTGGAGGGGAGGCGTCACCAGGCAACTGCAAACGAAGAAGCTGCGGCCTAGAAAAGTTGAATACTTTCCTCAAAGTCACAGGACTCAAAAGTTAGAGGAGTCAGAAGTTGGAAGACCCCGGTCTTCTAACTGAATTTCAAAAGACGTTTTACCATACTACCTGGCCTCTCCTGGACAGTTCTGGAAGTATCTCCCACCTATGAACACAGATGGGCACAGCAGGCTTGTGCTGGACACCAAAGGCGTGTTTCTGAGACCTTATACAAGGGCAGAAGATTGAGAAACAGGCATTCTGGACAATCTAAAAAATGTAACCACCAATATCAGAACATTAAAACTTAGCTCTAGAAATACTCTTTCATCATACTCCTGGTTCCAGCAGCCACTCCTTATCCCTGAGGGTCCAAAGCTTTAGGGAGTGCCTGGAATACTGCACACCCAAAAGACAAACACAGGCCAATTACAGGACTGATGTTTTATATATATGTGTGTGTGTGTGTGTATGTATATATATATGTGGGTATATATATGTATAGATGTGTGTGTGTATATATGTATATATGTGGGTATATATATGTGTGTATATATATGTGTGTATATATATGTGTGTATATATATGTGTGTGTATACATATATATATATATATGAAACAATTAAGATTCAAGACCTGAGGTATTATCTAGAGCACCTGAAATTTAGGCCTTGCATTTCGTTTTTTAGACAGAGTCTTGCTCTGTTACCCAGGCTGGAGTGCAATGGCGCGATCTTGGCTCACTGCAACCTCTGCCTCCCAGGTTCAGGCAATTCTCGTGCCTCAGCCTCCCAGGTAGTAGCTGGGATTACAGGTGGGCACCACCATGCCCAGCTAATTTTTTGTATTTTTAGTAGAGATGGGGTTTTGCAACATGTTGCCCAGGTTGGTCTCGAACTCCTGAACTCAGACAATCTGCCTGCCTCTGCCTCCCAGAGTGCTAGGATTACAGGAGTGAGCCACCACGCCAGGCCAGGACTTGCATTTTAAAGCACTTGTATTTTATGCTCACCTTTTAAGCAACATTAACCAAGAAGCAATCCAGTATTTTCCTTTCTAGAACATGAGACGGAACATTTGGTTTACTTGGACTTTGAGAAATGCCCAATGGTTCTGTTTTATTTTTTTAAGCCAGTGACTTTCTATACTTCTCAATGCTGCATGGGCACCAACAGTATGGGGGCTACATTCTTCCATAAAGGGACAGGTTCTGGGGCGCTGCTTGGCAATGCTTTCTCTTGTCATATCCATCAATGCTTTTCCAATCAATACATGGAAGCAACGATAGAAATAAAAGGCCTTCATATGATAGAGTTTGCCAACCTGTAATGATGAGTGTCATGAATTTATGCATACATGTAGCATTTCTCTTAGAAAGCAGGTTGCAGAGACTCATTGCACTGACTACAGTGGGCCTCAGGCAATGCAACTGTTCTGTTCCATTACCTACAGTGATCTCCCTTTTTTCTCTCATCCAGATCCTCTTCCAGAATTGAACTGAGAAATGGGTATTCTATGAGGAAAGCATTTCAGTGAATCTGTCTGAGAATGGCGAGGAAGGAAGAGCTCGGAATCCCTGGGCAATCTAATGGTATTTATGATAATGAAGAGTGAATATAATCTATTAAAGGGTGTTCAAGCAAAGCGATGTCATTCCCCCAGACATCCTCAACACAGAGCCCACCAGAGAGCCTGCACACCAAATACCTCCTATAGTGCAACTCTTCCCTTTACCATCACCAGCCCCATCAACCCCATGAGACAGGAGGAATGGCTTGCCCTTTAAACCTCCTCCTGGAAGTCCACAGCTACTCTCCTTACAGTCCTGAGACCCCATTCTCAGCTCCCTTCAGAGTCCACTCAACATTTTCCTTCTGGGCTTCTAGCGTTTGGGTCCTGGGAACTGGGGCTGCTTTAAAAACTCTTTCTGGGCTGGGTGCTGTGGCTCACGCCTGTAATCCCAGTACTTTGGGAGGCCGAGGCGGGTGGATCACCTGAGGTCAGGAGTTCGAGACCAGCCTGACCAATATGGTGATGGTGAAACCCCATCTCTACTAAAAATGCAAAAATTAGCTGGGCGTGGTGGCGTGTGCCTGTAATCCCAGTTACCTGGGAGGCTAGGACAGGAGAATTGCCTGAACCCAGGAGGCGGAGGGTGCAGTGAGCTGAGATCACGCCATTGCACTCCAGCCTGGGTGACAGAGTGAGATTCCATCTCAAAAAACAAACAAATAGACAACCAATCAACCAAAAACAACTCTTTCTGGCTGGACATGGTGGCTCACACCTGTAATCCCAGCACTTTGGGAGGCTGAGTCGGGAGGTTGCTTGAGGCCAGGAGTTCAAGACCAGCCTGGCCAACATAATGAGACCCCCAACTTTACAAAAAAATCTAAAAAATATAGCTGGGTGTGGTGGCATAGGCCTGTCATCAGTCCCAGCTACTCAGGGGACTGTCATGGGAAGATTGCTTGAGGCTGGGAGGCAGAGGTTGCAGTGTAGTGATTGTGCCACTGCACTCTAGCCTGGGTGACAGAGTGAGACCGTGTCTCAAAGAGAAAAAAAGAAAAGAATACTAAAAAAAAAAACTATTTCCATTGGCTCCTCCACCTATACTGGCCGTCTTTTCCCTGCTCCTTTTGGGGTCGTTTCAGAGCTCATGGTCTCAATATCAGCCTTCCTTCCAGAATCACTAGGCCAGGCTTTCACTGTTACCTCCTGAATCTCCAAAGCCCCTTCCCTTGGGGAGTGCCTCCTCCCAGATCCACAGCGCCTGACTCTCCAGCGTATTCCCAGCCCTAAACATGGACATGCAAATGAACTCGCCCAGATGTCATGGCTTCATTATTCTGGCCTAAGACTAGGACTTCTCTTTACATATCCCCTTGAGGAGTGATTTAACTGCCATTACCCTTTTCTCTAGCCCCCATTCCCCTTTCAAATGAGAAATAGAAAAACAGAAAACATCCTCTAACCTTGGGTTTTTGACCTTGGCTCTGGGATGAAAGAGGAGATACCATCATCTCCTTGCATGCCATTTACTGGCTGGGAAATACTCCAGCATCACTGCTGCTCTGGGAATCAGGAGATCTGAGGGTAAATGATTTACAAAAACTTCAATGAATGAAACATTTGGTGGTTAACCGCTAAAGTTATTAACCTTACTTTTGTTTATAATCTGCAGGAATGGTTAACTAAAATTAACCCAACTCAACATGTGCTTGCAGAACATTCACGCTATATTGAAAGAAGCCAAACAAAAGAAAGATTTCCAATCCTCAACATGGGTTTCCCAAACTGCCTTCATAGGACATCAATAGCTCCTAGAGCAGGGGGAAAGGGTGTACAAACACATCTGAGGGACCCTGAGTTAAACAAAGATCCTTTTCTTGGAGGTGGCACCTCTCAGAGATTTCAATACACCGATGGGAACTGTGAAACCCCAGATCTTCTAAGGCAGGTTCAAAGCTGTTTCTACTATACTATCTTGAGTCTCCAAAATGGTTTGGAATGTACTGCCTGCCACTGGAGACAGTAGCTGAATACACTTTATGCTACAGAAATGTTTCTTGAAGGTTGTATGAGTTCAGAACATGCAGTTCATGAGCGTGGCTTCCCAAAGTGCCTTCCAAGTTGCAACAGAAATTCTACAAAATCCCGATTCAAGATACACATAAAGGCCCAGTGCAGTGGCTCACGCCTGCAATCCTAGCACTTTGGGAGGCCAAAGTGGGCAGATCACTTGGGTCCAGGAGTTTGAGACCAGCCTGGGCAACAGGGTGAAACCCCATCTCTACAAAATATACAAAAATCAGCCATGCATGGTGGCGCTTACCTATGTAGTCTCAGCTACTTGGGAGGCTGAGGCAGGAGGATTGCTTGAGCCCAGGAGGTGGAATTTGCAGTGAGCAGAGATCATGCCACTGCATTCCAGCCTGGGCGACAGAGTGAGACCCTGTCTCAAACAAAACAAAACAAACGACAAACAAACAAACAAACCCAAAAAAATTCACAAAAACAGATTTAAACACTGTGATAAGAAGTCAACACACACACTCAAACAAGTTACCTCATTTTAACAGTGTTCTCATTACTTTGTAAGAAGAAATATAATTTAATAAACTTACATGAACAAATGCTGCTTTCAAAAATCTGTTTAATAAGTGTGCACAAAAGAAAAGGTTTTCTGGTATTAAATAACCACAATCCGAAACTGCCTTATCAGGATTTTCAAATAGAAGAAAAACAAAACATGGGCCAAGGGAGATTATTAAATTTTAAACAGCAATGAAACATTTTACAAATAGTGTGCTTCTATTTAGCAATAATGTCGAGATTTGACAAATAAAGATGCTGAACTTGTTTGATTCACAGCCTGAAAGTGACAGGGGACTTTCAGCCTTCTTCATTTTCAGGCTAGACTCCAGAACACATTCTTTGTGCGTTAGGTTCACTTTTCAGCAGAGGCAAACAGTGTGTACAATCACACTTTATCTTTGTTTCCATGAAAATGGAGTAAAAATGTGTGTATACTGATGCCCTGCTTTTTTTCTAATACAGATTAAAAAGGGAAAGAGGAAGTAGGAATACATCCTTAAGATTGATAATAAAGATGAGGCTCATTTTTATCTTCTACCTAGAGTCAAGTTTCTGACTTGTCTAAGCTTTCATTATTTACCTTGCAAAGAATTCTTTTAATCCCTGCAAGTGACCTCAGATTTTTTTTTAACCCAATAATCAGGAACTTAATACAGCATGTGGTGTCAGAGGTCCTTATGAGTGACAACTGTGAAATGTTTGATTTATACACAAGTCAACAATGTTGTATTCTGAGAGAGAAGAGAATAATAATGAAAAAGATGTTCCTCAGAGCATGGTACCCTCAGAAATAGAGTTTAGGGACAGAGAAACCTAGAGTCATACCAGGATGGAAAGCCACCATCTGTATGGCATCTGCCACCCCCAGGTTGATGGGGCTTGTGGTATTATGCACACGTTCCTCCTAAGGCATAACTGGGCTGAAAAAGACCCAGATTTTTTTTTTTTTAAAAGGACCAAATAGGGCAGTTTTATCATATACAATATATTTGCCCTCTACATGTGAAATGGAAAAAGCTGTGATGTCATACTCTAAAACCAGTGGTTGTCAACATACGGGGCTGTGGTGTTTGTAAGAGCACAAAACCACACACAGTAACATTTTCTCGGGGCTGCAAAAATCTGTGTCCCATGTACTTTTTCAATTTTAAGATGTAACTTTTCTATTTCATATTAATATTTCTGAAATGGGGATATGTTTTATAATCCACACGGACTTATGATGTGGTTGTGTCTGGCCAGAAATGCTTCCTTAGAACCAAGGAAATACTGTACATGCCAACTATTATTTTCAGTTCCATGGAAATATGGTTTTAGTTAATAAAATGTCAATTAAGTGTAAAGTATTAGTACACTGACAGAACTAACATGTTTTCTCACAGAACTAACATAAGAGACTTCCCTCCCCAAGGATACAATGATTGCAGTGACTAAATGAATATGGGGCCACCTACAACTGTTTTGATAATAAGTTCTTAAACTCAAGGACTCAGGATCACTGTGTACCATGAATTTTCTTTCTTTCTTTTTTTTTTGAGACAGGCTCTTGCCCTGCTGCCCGGCTGAGTACAGTGGTGTGATCACAACTTACTGCAGCCTCGATCTCTTGGGCTCAAGTGATCCTCCCACCTCAGCCTCCCAAGTAGCTAGGACTACAGTTGGCTATTTTTTTTTTTTTTTTGGTAGAGGTGGTATCTCACTATGTTGCCCAGAATGGCCTTGAACTCCTGGACACAAGCAATCCTCCTGCCGTGGCCTCCCAAAGTGTCAGGATTACATGTGTGAGCCACCGAACCTGGCTGCTATCACCTTTATACAAAATAATTCAGGTCTGTGTTTCAAAGAGCCAGAGTTGGAACAATTAGAGGATAAATCCCTAAAAAAGAAATATATGCAAATGGTCTTTGATCTATACTTTAATATTAGAACCTGAAATTGTCCTGGTATTCCTAAATTATAGTTCATTTCATCTTTTTGGTGGCTTAAGCTGAAAAGATAGAAAGAGTATCTTTAGTTTCAATACATCAAAGGCCGTTGGAAATAGGGGGCAAAACCAGCACTTTAATAAGCAGTAGGGGCCGGGTGCGGTGGCTCCCGCCTGTAATCCCAGCACTTTAATAAGCAGTAGGGGCCGGGTGCCGTGACTCACGCCTGTAATCCCAGCACTTTAATAAGCAGTAGGGGCCGGGTGTGGTGGCTCACACGTGTAATCCCAGCGCTTTAATAAGCAGTAGGGGCTGGGCGCGGTGGCTCACGCCTGCAATCCCAGCGCTTTAATAAGCAGTAGGGGTTGGCGCGGTGGCTTACGCCTGCAATCCCAGCACTTTGAGAGGCAGAGGCGAGCGGATCACTTGAGATCGGGAATTTGAGAACAGCCTGGCCAACGCGGTAAAACCCCGACTCTACTAAAAAAATACAAAAGTTAGCTGGGCGTGGTGGTGCATGCCTGTAGTCCCAGCTACTAGGGAGGCTGAGGCAGGAGAATCACTTGAACCTGGGAGGCAGAGGCTGCAGTGAGCCAAGATCGTGCCACTGTACTCCAGCCTGGGTGACAGAGCGAGACTCCATCTTAAAAAAAACAAAAAAAACCCTTTATCAAGACTGTTATGGCTCAATAATCACAGTGCCAAATAAATAAATTCCTATTTAAAAAACAAAGAATTCTTCTTAGCAAGCATACTACAAATGGCCCAATTAAACGCCTTTCACTTTGGAAACCTGAGGTCTGATCCAGACAAGGATGATCTGCTCAAAGTTTTAGAGCTACAGAAACAAAGTTTTCACCAGGATTTTACATATTCAAACATAAATTTAGTACAGGGGAAATTTAATAGTTCTATAATCTTAACACTGGTGTCTCTCAAAACACTAGCAGAATTTAATCTTGTTCTAAATCAAACCGGGAAGAGTTGAGAAAAGTCACTTATTTGTATGCTCTTTCCCAACAGTATAAAAATAAACAATATACATTATGTGCCTATCAAACTAAAAAATGAATACCAATTAATAAAGGAAACAGCAATTAGCAAAGTCATTAGTTTACATTCCTTCTTTTGCTTCTGCAGTTGTGGCTAATGATTTGTTTTGACAACTTTTACCTGTATTTTACTTAATGCTGATAAATAAATTCATGATACAGACCTAGTATTTTATATCAATTTTACCTGAAATAAAAGGAGACCCAGGACATTTGTGAGGAATATAGTCTCATAGTATTAAGAGACCCAAAATTCAATCCTATTAAACTTGTATTTTTAGCTAACAAGCAACACATTTAAAACCTCTTCATTTCCACCCCAGCACCGACAGTTAGCTTTCTTCTTGGGATTTTTTTGTTTGTGTGTAGTGATGTCTCTGCAATGGGATATTTTATTTTATTTTTTGAGACAGTCTCTCTGTCACCCAGGCTGGAATGCAGTAGCGTGATCTTGGCATCCTGCAACCTCCACCTCCCAGGTTCAAGTGATTCTCCTGCCTCAGCCTCCCAAGTAGCTGGGATCACAGGCATGCGCCACCACGCCTAGCTAATTTTTTGTTTTTAGTACTCTGGGGTTTCGCCATGTTGGCCAGGCTGGTCTTGAACTCCTGACCTCAAGTGATCCACCCGCCTTGGCCTCCCGAAGTGTTGGGATTATAGGCATGAGCCACCGCACCCAGCCCTGGATTACAGTTTTGAGGGCAGCTGCTAAGGTTAAGTTTTTTAAGCTCGTAAATGACTCAATTTTAAAATATCCACACCTGGCAGATATTTTATTTTTTAATAAACTTTCAAATATAGAATAATTTTTGATTTACAAAAAAACTGCAGAGACAACACTGAGAATTCCTATGTATCTCTCACCCAGTTTCTGGTTATTAATATTAGTTGCAATTAGTGAACCAATATGGATGTATTATTATTAACTCGAGCTATACTTCATTCAGATTTCCTTAGCTTTTTTCCCCTAATTTTCATTTTCTGTTCCAGGGTCCTTTCTGAGTACCGCATCACATTTAGTCATTACAGCGCCTTAGCTCCTCTTGGCTATGACAGTTTCTCAGACTGTCCTTGCTTTTGATGACCATGGTAGTCCTGAAGAGCGCTGCTCAGGTAGTTTGCAGGATTCCCTCAATGTGGGCCTTTTTCTGATGTTTTGTTTATGATTTGACATCATGACAGAATGGAAGACCATGGCAGTGAAGTGTCATTCTCATGACATCATATCTAGGGTCCTACTATCCACAGTATTCACTGCTGCTGCTCTTGAGCTTGATCATCTGGCTGGGGCAGTGTTCATCAGGCTTAGTTACTCCTCCTACACCCAACCCCTTTCCCTTCCCACCTTTGTCAGGAAGGCTACACTTAATGGGGGAAGACTTATGCTCCCTGTATTCGTCTGCCTTCACGCTGCTGATAAAGACATACCCGAGACTGGGTAATTTATAAAGAAAAAGAGGCTTAATGGACTCACAGTTCCGTGTGGCTCGGGAGGCCTCACAATCATAGCAGAAGATGAAAGTCACGTCTTACATGGTGGCAGACAAGAGAGAATGAGAGCTGAGCAAAAGGGGTTTCTCCTTATAAAACCATCAGATCTCGTGAGACTTATGCACTATCATGAGAACAGCATGGGGGAAAAGCCCCCATCATTCAATTATCTCCCACTGGGTCCCTCCCACAACATGTGGGAATTATGGAAGCTACAATTCAAGATGAGAATTGGGTAGGCGGGGGCACAGCCAAACCACAACACTCCCCTTCTTAAGGGCAGAGTACAGACATACATTACTTGGAATTCTTCTGTGTAGGAGACTGTCTCTGCTCCCCATCAGTAAATGGGGATATGAGTCATTTATTTCTATGTGTATGGACTCATGGCTATCCACAGTTAATTTTTAGGAAGAGGGATGAAGGGATTTTGTTGTTGCTTGTACATGTGCGTGGCAGATACACCAAGGCTGGGGATGACATGGGCCTGTTGATGGGATGCAGGAGAGTCACAGGCCTCCCTCTGCCTAAAAGGCTTTGCTCACACACTGGTATCATGTCCCACTATATTGAAATTTCTGCCTCAATAAACTTATAAAGTACAGTGCATTGTGGAACTTTGAGTTCAAACTGCAAATGCTGAACTCACTATGTCAAAGGCCCAACTGTCTGTATTAGTGCCTCTCCTTCATCCTAAATCCCCACCTCCATGCAGCCATGGATCCCATGTGTGACACCTTCACGCACTGTGAGCTGGCATCCTGTTAGGAGGAAGGTGGCTATTCGCAGCCCACTCCACAACCTCCCTCCTGGAGTTGTGCATACTTGGACGCATGCAATAAATGGGTTTTCAGTCTGAGGAGTGGTTTGGAGTAAACAATTCTGCAGGTCTTGATAGTGAGTGTATTTGGATACTGAGAGCACAGCAGCAAAGGGCACCTCCCAATAACATGAGAGAGGTGACATGCAGAAGCTATCCAGTGTGCTCTGTGAGCCCAGGGGAAAGAATGTCACTCAGGAGTTTGACAATTGAGATGATGGGCTACACCAACAAGGGTGTGAGATGGAGGGTGGGGAGGGCATGGGCTTTAATGCAGGACGACATCAACATTTCATGGTCAAAAAGGCCCCTCCCAGAATAGTCTAATGCTTTCAAATTTGCAATCTTGTCTATGCCAGTACGTCTCAAGCTTTTTAAGTGGCAGCACACCTACAAGTGATAGTGAGACGTGCACTGACATCAAACATAAAGACGTTTACAATTTAGGGTTGGATAGAATTTATTTGGACGGTCTAGTAGGACACGCACCATGGACTAGAAACCTGTATAGGAGACAAAAGCTTTAAACTGTAATGTTTCCCAGGACAAATTGGGACAGCTCCCCCTAAATTCCATTTTTAGTAACAAAACACCTCTGCTTAGCTTACAAAAAGTCATATTTGAGAACTGCTGGTTTATACTAATTTGTACAACAAATCTTATTTTCAATGGACTGAAGGGTATGCTTTAGAAGCCGCTCTCTGTCTAAATCACTACAAAATCCAAATGAGCAAAGTATAAAATAGAGGTTTCGTAATATACATCTTTAAAACGTTATTCGAGAGTTTTTTTCCTCCCCGCAATTGCTGGCAATAGCCACTGTTGTATGCTTAGCTCTACTATGCATTAAAGAAGATTTCTGATCGGATCCATGGAATTATTTAAGAGTTTAATGTGGAAGACTTTGCTCATGGTAAAAACAAATTAATTAATTCAATCTGCCTTCAAAGCAACAGGAAGAAAGTATCAGAGAGGGAAAAGTGATACCATCCCAGCACAGGAACAAGACCAGCTGTGCCAAAGTTATCAGAGAGTATGCAGAGCTGGAGATAAGCCTGCAGGGAAACCTGGGACTTCTGAGGATGCTCTTAATATACCCTGACACATCACGACAGAAAAGGGACCCTTCTGAAAAGACAAAGAGGTGGGACATCACTGCCTAGACAGAGGGAGACTCGCAGCTTGCATGTTCATTTGCTCATGAAGGTCGACTTCCTTCCCTATCTGACCCCGGGCAAACACAGGGCTACGACGGCAGTCTGCCATGGCCTGAATGCTGCTCAGATAACCCTTGATCCCAGCATCAGAATCCCAGAGTTTATTACTGGATTCCAGAGCTCCTGATCCACTAGTTCTGCAGCAGGACCCAGGAATCCACATCTTTAACTAGCAACCCAGGACCTGGATGCAGAAGGTCTTTATGCTACTTTGATTGACATCATGAAATTGGGGCTACAAACCCTAAGCAATCTACGGGCAAGCCATCCTGAGAGTCGTTTCTCAACTTTTATCAACAGGACGGATTTGTTAACCTAATTGGGTGGCACACCTTCACTGGGAGAGGGTCTCATTAGCAGCCTAGTGCTACCAGTTGTTGTGTAACTGTTAACAGGTGTTGCTGGCCAGGTGTGGTGGCTCACGCCTGTAATCCCAGCACTTTGGGAAGCCAAGGCAGGCAGATCGCTTGCAGTCAGGAGTTCGAGACCAGCCTGGCCAATATGGCGAAACCCTGTCTCTACTAAAAATAAAAAAATTAGCTGGGTGTGGTAGCGCTCCTGTAGTCTCAGCTACTTGGGAGGCTGAGGAGGAAGGATTGCTTGAACCTGGGAGGCAGAGGTTGAAATGAGCCAAGATTGCACCACTGCACTCCAGCCTGGGCGACAGAGCGAGCCTCTGTCTCAAACAGAGGCTCTGTCTCAAAAAAACACATAACGGGTGTTGCTGCAACAGGCTTCTGTCAGCCGGTGCTTATACCTAATTGGATTCAATTTCACATGCATCATTTTCACTAGCCCAGGTCACCACCACCAAAGTTACATCAACAAACTGCACAGCACAAAAGACTAGTGACAAAGAGAAAATAGACATGAATTTTAATTCAGATTTGAGACACTCTAGAAGGCAAGTCAGACCCTCTCCAGGCACATTTATCAGTGATTTTACAACGCAGTCAGTGCCTACATGGATTTTTGATCATTTGGAACCCTACTGAAAGTATCTGGAAGACCGACCTTGGAGTCATGGCCCAGGGTGAAACCTGCCCTGTGTTTAACCCGTGAGCAAAGGTTCTGTCCTTACCATGCACACCCCACATTGGCACTGGGAGAACATTTCAAGACAGCACAAGAGGCTGCAGCCGAGTGGGTCCCCAGCCTGGCTGAATACTACAATCACTGGAAGAGACCTGATATAATTACCTGTGGGCAGGGCCCACCAGACCAAGTGCTTAGAATCTTGGGTGAGTCCTGGGCATCATGTTGCTTTAAAATGCTCCCCAGAGCCTGGACAACACAGCAAGACCCCATCACTTAAAAAAAATAAAAATTTAAAAACTAGCTGAGTGCAGTAGCATGTGCCTGTAGTTCCAGTTACACAGGGGGCTGAGGTGGGAGGATCGCTTGAGCCCAGGAGTTCGAGGCTATAGTGAGCTATGATTGCACCACTGCAGGACCAGATGAGTGAGTGGCAGTTCTGGCCCTAAGGAGAGACAGACATGAAGACGTGCACCAGCTATTGCAATCCAGGGCGGGAAGTGTCTGGACCCTCAGCGCCTAGAACAGTGCTTGGATCACTGTGCCATTCCATAAATATTTTCTGATTAAATAGCAAAGCTAAGCACACAGACCTGGGACAGGAGAACCAGAGAGGACGACATCTGAAGGGGACAACACCTGATGCTTTAGGAAGAGTGAAAATGACTCCATTAAGCAAAAGCACCCTAGAGGAGTGACCTGTATAAAGGCAGGGTGGCGAAGGAGTGAGGATATATGTCATCCGTGAGGACATCCAGACAACAGCCACTGCACAGGCCGGTGGTCAGGAGAGAGGTCTGGACGGGGGACAGCCTTGGGCATCCGTCCAGGAGGGGGGCTGGGAACTGAACCTGGGCCCTCCAGCCTGGACGAGAGAGCAAGATCCATCTCTCAAAATAAAATAAAATGCTCCCAGGTAATGATAATGTCCCAGGCTTGGGCCCCAAAAGGAATGTTTTTGTTCCTAAGACAGTCTCAAAAGTGGGCACTGTTTCCCCTGCTCTGCCTAACAAATGGAAAGTTCAATAAATTATTGCTGAACTACACTGAACACATTTAAAGATCAGACAACTTCCATTTCTATAACAGGCAAGAAACCTCAGGGATGGAAGACTGGGTTGTCATTTGTGATCTCATCTCTGCAACTGTATGACTTTGTGACAATTAGTGTCAGACCTTCATCTTTAAAGAGGTGCAATGAAAAAGCACTGCCTTCTCACTGATCCTACTAAAAAGTTTAGGGTTGAGAAGTTTGCTAAAAGTGCTGAGATTTAAATTGGCAAAAACAGGAGCTTCCACCAAAGAGTAGGCTCTCTGTCTGAAACATCACCAGGATTGAAAATTGAGAGCGAAAAACTGTTAATCCCAGCAACTGTCTTCTACCAGTTATAAGGGTGGCTATATTTGAGCCCAGGAGTTTGAGACCAACCTGGGCAACATAGCAAGACTTAGTCTCTACAAAAAATAAACAAAATTATCCAGACATGGTGGCTCACTCCTAGAGTCCCAGTCCCAGCTACTTGGGAGGACGAGGTGGGAGGATCGCTTGAGCCCAGGTCAAGGCTGCAGTGACCAAAACTGCACCATTGCACTCCAGCCTAGGTGACAGAGCAACACTGTTTCCAACAACAAAAAAAGGATGCCCAGGTACATTCAAATTTCAGATGACAAACAAATAATTTTGTGTAAATATGTCTCATGCAAAATTTGGAATATCTTTATATTAAAATTTTATTTGTTGCTTATCTGAAATGCAAATACAATTGGTGTCCTGTATTATAACTGGCAACCCTAGGGATAACAGCCCCAAAATAAATTGTCTAGCTATGTTGTCCTGTGTTTCAGACTTTGTTACTTTGTCTCAGTGGAAAAGGATGACAGTATTACTGGATAAAAACATTTGCGAATCTCATGTTTGTTTCCCAACAAAATGCTTTGATATTCATAGGCATAGGGGCCACCTAAGAATAGGCAGAATATTCGTCTCACAGTTACTTTTCAGAGCGGAGTTCTTCAGCCCTGAACAAAGGACACAGCAGAAAGGAAACACAGCTGAGCAAATCGATGGAACAAAGGAAGCATTCAACTCACACCTTGCGTCATACACGCACAAAACTTCAGCTATCTGTAGAAGCCAGAAATGATGATGAAATTTGATCTGTTTAATCTTGTAACTATGAAGTTCCACTTCCTATTTTTTGCTTCTGTGGGAGGTGAGGGGAAGACACACAGTAGAACTTAAGGAGAGAAGAGAACGAAGGAAATTGGTACGATCACATTGACTTTTTCAGAAAACACTGCGCAGGACCAGATGAGTGAGTGGCAGTTCTGGCCCTAAGGAGAGACAGACATGAAGATGTGCACCAGCAATTGCAATCTGGGGCGGGAAGTGTCCGGACCCTCAGTGCCTAGAACAGGGCTTGGATCACTGTGCCGTTCCATAAATATTTTCTGATTAAATAGCAAAGCTAAGCACACAGACCTGGGATGGCAGAACGAGAGGGGATGACACCCAAAGGGGACAACACCTGATGCTTTAGGAAGAGTGAAAATGACTCCATTAAGCAAAAACACCCTAGAAGAGTGACCTGTATAAAGGCAGGGTGGCCGGGGAGTGAGGATATATGTCATCAGTGAGGATATCCAGACAACAGCCACTGCACAGGCCGGTGGTCAGGAGGGAGGTCTGGACGGGGGATAGCCTTGGGCATCCATCCAGGAGGGGGCTGGGAAGTGAAGCCCTGGTGCAAAGGAGATGCTCTAGAGAGGTCAGGCCTGGGATCCTAGGCCACGTCTTCCTCAAGCAAAGAGCAGGGTGCCCATCAAAAAACATACAGGTTCCTGGGCTCTAGAAAGCTGAGGAGAGCAAAGGTGCAAAGAAGACTACGAAAGGACAGATCAGCCACATAAGGAAAGCCTAGAGAGGCCCCTGCCGTGGACAGCAGGACAGACTCCTGGGGTGACGGAGGCTCCAGTGTACAAGGAGAGCAGACCCAGAAATGTCCGCTGGATCTGGAGAAACGGGTTACTGTGATGTGATAGGGAAGGGACAGACAGCAGACAGCTAAGGCATGAGTTCCCCTTAAGCAAAGGGAAAGATTGTATAGACAGCAGCTTCTGTCTATGAATGGAATGAAGGAACAGGTGGAGGGGCTCTCCCATCAAAGCGGGGCTGCTTCACAGGTATTTTTTGTTTGTTTAGAGACAGGGTTGTCTTGTCACCTAGGCTGGAATGCAGTGATCTCAGCTCACTGCAGCCTCCAACTCCTTGGCTCAAGTGATTCTCCTGCCTCAGCTTCCCAAGGAGTTGGGACTACTGGTGCGCATCACCATGCCTGGTTAATTTATTTTTAATTTTTGTAGACACTGAGTCTTCCTATGTTGCCCAGGCTGGTCTTGAACTCCTGGCTTTAAGCAATCCTCCCGCCTGGCCTCCTGAAGTACTGGAATTACAGGTGTGAGCCACTACGCCCAGCCCACAGGCATGTTCTTATGGTGGGAAGAGGCCTCAAGATCTGTATGAAATGAAGAGATGGAGCCACAGGCAGGAAAATGATTATACAGCTCCCGAATGAAAGCTCAAATGCTCTGAGCAAGAACTCACAGATCCTTTTTCTCAACTTCCTTTCCCTGCTATTCCATCCAGGAGATCCAGATGCCCCGTAGCAGAAACAAGCCGAGGTCCATCTGGACTACAGCCCACTCCTGATGTCCAGGCTCTTATCTGGCTGAGTGACTCTTCTAATACAGAAGGCGTGGAAATGAGTGTTTCAAGAGGTATGGGTCCAGCACACCCAACTCCACTGAATTCATTTAAAGACACAGAACAAAAATCAAAGCCCTGTGAACTAGGAAGGCAAGTGCTCACAAGGATAGCCATTTAAGTGATCCTCCAGAGTCTTCTGAGATTCTGCAAGCAGCTGAGAATCTCCAGGGAGGTAAATTACTAAAAAGCCACTGGAGAATTCCACCGCTTTAGCAGTGCCCGAGCCACTTTCTACAGAGGGACAAAAGACACAGAGGGAGGGGTAGCTGGCAGAGCTGGCTGCTGTGCTATCTGGACATGGTGCAAAAAACACGGCTTTTTGCTACGTCAACTGTAGTAAAAGAGATCTCAGGAAGACCTAGACATTTGTTAAAATTAAACAATTTTTTTTAAAAGAATGGGAAAATCAGGCATTCTGCATCTCTGAGCAACAATAGCCAACTATTATTTCTTTAAATGAACCCCAAAGAGCACTCATAAAAGACTTATTCAAGATGCCATTTGCACAATACTAAAAGATCACACGAACAGAACTCATAAAAATGTGCAAGCTTTATAGTTGATAACAGTCGAACTCCATTTAAAAAGAAAAAGCATAAAAGGGTGGTTCAACATGAAGTACAAACTGGACCTAGGACAACAGCAGTATTTCTGTTGCTCCCTGAAGCAGTTTTCATTGGGTCGGAAATCGATGCAGTCTGACTGGAGGTGACCTAAAAGCAGATGAAAGACAGCCAGGCCCAAAGTCCACAAACAGCATCGGTAAGACCTACTGAGAGTTTCTTATGCATATAATAAGTATGCAATACAATATTTTTATTGTTATGAACGGAGTCACCAAGTATTTACCTAGAAAAAGCTGCAGAATTCGGCCGGGTGCAGTGGCTCATGCCTGTAATGCCAGCACTTTGGGAGGCCGAGGCGAGTGGATGACAAAGTCAAGAGATGGAGACCATCCTGGCCAACATGGTGAAATCCTGTCTCTACTAAAAATACAAAAATTAGCTGGGCGTGGTGGTGCGCACCTGTAGTCTCAGCTACTTGGAGGCTGAGGCAGGAGAATCACTTGAACCCAGGAGGCAGATGTTGCAGTAAGCCGAGATCGCACCACTGCACTCCAGCCTGGGCAACAGAGCGAGACTCCATCTCAAAAAAAAAAAAAAAAAAAAAAAAAATTAAGAAAAGAAAAAGCTGCAGAATTCCTTCCACATGATTTGCGTTCTACCCCAATGCTTGACATACTAAATCCACCACCTCTCTTGAAGCTAGGTTTTGAATAAAATGAGAATGACATTTTCTTTCTTTCTTTTGAGACGGGGTCTTGTTCTGTCACCCAGGCTGGAGTGCAATGGCACCAACTCGGTTCACTGCAATCACCACTTTCTGGGTTCAAGCGAGTCTCCTGGCTCAGCCTCCCGAGTAGCTGGGATTACAAGCGCCTGCCACCATTCCCGGCTAATTTTTTGTATTTTTAGTAGAGATGGGGTTTCACCATGTTGGCCAGGCTCATCTCAAACTCCTGACCTGAGGTGTTCCGCCTGCCTCAGCCTCCCAAAGTGCTGGGATTACAGGCGTGAGCCACTGTGCCTGGCCAAGAATGACATTTTCTAGGTAGCCTTTTTTTTGGTTTAATGTATAGACAGGGTGTCACCATGCTGCCCAGGCTGGTCTTGAACTCCTGGGCTCAAGTGATCCTCCCGCCTCAGCCTCCCAAAGTGCTGGGATTACAGGCGTGAGCCCCCATGCCCGGCCTCTAGGTAGCTTTCTTAAATTGAGATGTTAAAAGTCTAAGGGAAAAGGAGTGGCTTGTTTACCTGTAGGCAGAACTGACTGCAGTGTAACTAGGACCCCTTGCAGTCACCAGGGTCTATGACGGCGTCCTGGCTCTGCCCCTCTCTGTTCCTAACCATCAAGCCTGGATGTGCAGCCCTGCTACTTCGAGTGTGGTCCTCCAACCAGCAGCATCAGCCTCACGGAAGAGCTTGTTAACAGTACAGCCTCTCAGGGGCCACACGGGACCCTGAATTTGAATCTGCATTTAACAAGATCCCCAGCTGATTCCCATCCATGCTTCGTGACGCAGTTGAGCAGTGAGAAAAGCTGGCTGAGTGAATTGCTGCCCCATTCCAAAAAGCCATCGGGAGAACGGGCAGCAGCTGCAGGAAGTGACTTTCACTGTACTCCATTTCATTTTATCACACTTTCATTTTATTGACCTTTTCTCTAAAGCAACGGAGCTGTTTTCCTTTGTTTTATTCATAACTCTTAATTTTTAAAAGTAGTCTGACTTCATGCTACCATCTCAAATTGTATCAACTTTAAATTATTTACATGAATCGGGAGGGAGGAAATGGAAACCATTTTTCACATTCGATTTATATCCAATCAGAGTTTTTTCTTTTTTCACAACAGTTGTTAAGTTGTTAGCAAACCTGTGTTTTCACAGCAAGCTAGGAAGTCCCTTAGATCATTATCCAGAAAAACGGCATGTAATTAGGACTACACAGAAAGGCGCCCTAGAAAATACAGAACAGGGCTAGAGGTACACACCTGCAGACAGGTGTTCTACAACAAGGCTAAGTGCACATCTGTCCACCTGGAACAGCAATCTTGCTTACTGAGTAGTTAACTGCATGCAATAAACTGTGAACTCAGGAAGGGCGAGGGCCATGCATGTAACTCGAGTAGGAGGGGTTCAATAAATATCCATGAATCAGTGAATCGATGAATATCACTTAAAACAGGCTCTTCCCACAACACTCTGCTCCTTCCCTTTCAATTCCTGTAAAGGCCAGAATATTAAAGGAACCTCCAAGTCATTCTTGATTGCTAAGAGGCCACTAGCCACACTGAGATGGCTCCTCCAGGGTGGCCCTCATGAGGACCACTAAAGGGCTTTTCCCACCAGGAAGTAAATCACTCCTATGCCATCAGAAGGATGTTCGGCATCAGCTTCCCTATCCTGAACACTTTTAGGACTTGGAAAGGTAAACGTGGCACCGATCTGGGTGTAAATGGCTTCACTCAACAATGTTCATAATCTCTTTCTGCCCCTGCTAAAATTCTCTTGAAAGAGGTGGAACTTTCTGTACCCTTTTGGTTGCTGTGATGTGGACACTCTTTAGTTAACTGAAAAGGCAACAACAAGAACGAGGAAAGAAAGTAAAAGAGATCAGCCACAAAGACAACTAAGGGTGTTCTAAACAAATCACATGAGATTAGCAGAACAGGTGGGCTGGAGGAAAATTCATGCTGGAAAAGCCAGGCGCTTTGATGTTGGAATATCTGGTTGAAGATGAACCAACCAAGCAGAATAAATGGGTGAAGACGAATGATAATAATCTGTGAGAGGGAGATAGATCAGACACGGCACCCGGTTCACAGAATTAGAGTAACACCCCTACACGTGATGCCCCCGTGGTATGAGACCTGAGTTCACTAGCAAAAGCTCAGCAACCCACTGATAATTTTGAAAACAAACAAACAAATAAAAAAAGAGGATGCTCTTTTTCGAATACTTCATAAACTTAGACATCTTAGTTGTGGCTGATGTCTTTACTCCCTTGTCCCATCCAAAAGCTACAATCCACAGGGATGGCCATGTGGTCTTGAAAGCACCTCATCTCCTGCTCTATATCATTAATTTTATTTTTATTTTTACTTTTTTTTTGAGATGGAATCTCACTGTGTTGCCCAGGCTGGAGTGCAGTGGCGTGATCTCGGCTCACTGCAACCTGCGCCTGCCTCCTTGGTTCATGCAATTCTCCTGCCTCAGCCTCCCCAGTAGCTGGGACTATAGGCACGTGCCACCACGCCCAGCTAATTTTTTGTATTTTTAGTAGAGACGGGGTTTCACTGTGTTAGCCAGGATGGTCTCGATCTCTTGACCTCATGATCCGCCTGCCTCAGCTTCCCAAAGTGCTGGGATTACAGGCGTGAGCCACTGCGCCCAGCCAATTCTCTCTTTTTTTTTTTTTGAGACAGTCTCTGTCGCCCAGGCTGGAGTGCAGTGGTGCCATCTTGGCTCACTGCAACATCTGCCTCCCAGGTTCGAGCGATCGATACTCCTGCCTCAGCCTCCCCAGTAGCTGGAATTACAGGTGTGTACCACCACGCCTGGCTGATTTTTGTATTTTTAATAGAGACAGGGTTTCGCCATGTTAAGCAGGCTGGTCTCAAACTCCTGACCTCGAGTGATCTGCCTGCTTCAGCCTCCTAAAGTGCTGAGATTACAGGTGTGAGCCACCATGCCTGGCCACCCTTCTCTACATGATTAATTCTTAGCCCTCAGACTCCAGCTCAAAAGTCACTGCCCTGGGAAGCCCCCCTTGAATGCCCCTTTCTCATTGCCTCCTCTGTTCCCTAACATGCTTTTCTCACACCTAGACTGCTTCACTCGTTCTCTTTTTCTTTATTTATCTTTGCTTCCTCCATAGGAACTCGAGGCCCTGAAAAGCAAGGACTGAGTCTTAATTCTTTTTATCTTTGCTCAGATCAGAAGAATGACTGTCTGTGCTCAGTTCATTATGAGTATGTGAACTATGCTTTGTGAGCCCAGGAACTGGGTGGCCCCGGACTGAAGAGTCCCTGCGCAGGAATCATGACTGAACCCGAGTGTGGGTGCGTAAGCCCCCAAGAGAGATGAGCTGAGAGGAGAGAGGAAGAGGTCGCGTGTGGGATGAACACCTCCACGCTGCAGCAGCCAAATGACTTTGAGCACCTTTTCTTGGTCTAAAAAAGGAATCATATCTCTCCTGAATACCTCTCAGGATGATGAGGAACAAAATAGAGAATGGATCTGAAAGCACTTGAAAATCTATAAACGACCATGCAAATATATAATGACAGCATTTTGGTGGTGAAAGGTAAGGAAAGTAGGGACGATGGATGGATGGATGGATGGATGGATGCATGGATGGATGGATGCATGGATGGATGCATGGATAGATGGATGCATGGATGGATGGATGCATGCACGGATGCATGGATGCATGGACGGATGGATGGGTGGATGGATGGATGGATGGAGAGTGGCTCATCAGCCACAAAACAGCTATGTTCCCACAAAAACTAAAAATAAATTTAAGGCCAGGTGTGGTGGCTGATGCTTGTAATCTCAACACTTCTAGGGCCAAGGCAGGTGGATCCCTTGAGCCTGGGAGTTCAAGACCAGCCTGAACAACACGGCAAAACTTCGTCTCTACAAAAAATACAAAAATTGGCCAGGTGCGGTGGCTCATGCCTGTAATCCCAGCACTTTGGGAGGCCAAGCTGGATGGACCACCTGAGCTTAGGAGTTCAAGACCATAATGGGCAACATGGTGAAACCCTGTCTCTATTAAATACAAAAATACAAAATACAAAAAAAATACAATTTTTTTTTGTAAAAATACAAAAAAAAAAAATTAGCTGGGTGTGGTGTGCACACCTGTAGTCCCATCTACTTGGGAGGCTGAGGCAGGAGAATTGTTTGAACCTGGGAGGTGGAGGTTGCAATGAGCCGAAATCACGCCACTGCACTCCAGCCTGGGCAACAGAACAGGACCCTGACTCAAAATAAATATACTAATTAAATTAAAATAAAAATTAAAAAACAGAAGGAAAGGGTTGACAAGTATCTAACTTCAAGTATTGTTAGTCCATTCTCTCATGGACTCTAAGAAGTCAAAGTTCAGAAATAAGAATGTGAAACAGGAATGGGCCTCACCCAATTAATAAAACGTTGTCTAATGAGTGCACATAAAAAATACCAAGGGTCCAAAAGCTAGTAGCTCCTCCCTCATGTTTACTTGGCATTTATGAAGCACTTTAACATGTATTGATTTAGAATGCCTAAGTTTAATATTTAATGCGGCATCTAACAGATTTCCATCAAGACGCAGAAAGAAACATTCTAACAGTACAGGCAGTGATTTTAAGTTTTAAATAAAGGCAAATGAGGTTCAAGTAGGTGAAGAAAATTGTTTCAAAAAGTTGTGGGGAAAGTACACAACGAAAGTCTTTTGTCTATTTCAAATCCAACTAAAAACACAAGTTACAGCACAAGAATCAATTCTAAAGAGAATACAAAGTGTGTGTTAAAAGCCACTTGAATGGTTCGCTCTGCCAAGAGGTGAATGGGCTAAAAGGCTCACTCTTGGAGTTTACTTTCACCATGTAATCTTTAGGTTTAGAGTAAAGGGAAGCAAACGTATCCATAAAACTATGCACTGAGCATATGCGCTGTGTGCACATGAAGTCACTGAGGGAGGAGACACTTAATTTTGCTACCAGCAACATTTGGACAATCGGTAGATGCAGGGCCTGGATAGCAAAGCCGCATTTTAAAAGGGCGCTCTGTGCTCCGGCAGATGGGCTACAAACTTGACCAGACTGCAGCCACTGTGTCTTCCACTTACACCAGTTGCATGCATTAACTTTTCTATTCCTTAGCCATATGCCTTATCGCACATTCAAAAACATGTCCAGCAGATGGTAGGTAACAAAGAGAAGAGGGTGAGAAGTGAAAAACCCTGTTCTAAAGGAGGCATCTAAAAACCAATCACCTCCAACCTCTGATGAGAAGGGAATATTGTGAATCATCAAATGCCATTAAACACCAATAGTTTGACGCCGCCCTTTGGAAGCAGATATTGACTTTTTGTATCACAATACTTGGAATAACACGCATACATTTTTCTAACACTGTTGTGTTTTCCTAACTCAGAATAATCACAGATTTTCATAATACCATAAATATTGACATAATGATAGATTGGCAATTCCCAGAATATGACTTCCTGTCACATGAAACCCTAAATAGACGTATGGCTCTACACTGAGGAATCAGACCAAAGGAACATTATCTCATGAGCATTGAAGCAAGAAAACGTCCTAAGTTCAGAAAACATCGTCTCTTTTTATAAAATCTGTATTTGAAGATAAACAACAGAAGGGCTATTTACACCACTAATTCTGTCTCCATGCAGAGTCCAAAGAAGCCGGACAAAGGGCATGGGAAAATACCTCCAGGAAAAAGGCAGCAGTGTAGACAGCAGGGGAAGAGTACCAGGTGCCACTGTTCTCTACATGGTACAGCTCCTACAATGCAGGCGGCTCAGAAACACAGTAAAAGTCAGGAAAGGCCCCAGGGGAGAAAAAACAAGAGGGAAGAAAGGGAGGAACCTGAAGTAAAGGGAGGGACCTGACTCCAACACTCCATTCTGCCCTAATCCCAAACATGGACCCTGAAAACAGCTCAGCTCCATTCAATCAGGCCGTGGGCATGCACGCTCATCTGAAATGCCAAATGCAAAGTAAGCTTTAACACAATCACACGGCAACTCAGAATGAATGTCATCAACGCCAGGCATTGTCCTTCCAAAGTCCCTTCTGGGACATGGACAGCCCAGGTGTGTGCCTGCTGAGCTAGTGATTAGAGTGCAACCAAGTCACATCTGGTGGCCCAAAACTCTCGCCATGCTTGCACTCCAGATCCCTCCCCACCTCTGAAGTGGCTCCTGGAGCTCTGCATAAAAAGTGGTGGGCAGGCTGGGCATGGTGGCTCACACTTGTAATCCCAGCAGTTAGGGAGGCTGAGGTGGGCGGATCACCTGAGGTTGGGAGTTTGAAACCAGCCTGGCCAACATGGTGAAACCCCGCCTCCACTAAAAATATAAAAATTAGCCAAGTGTTGTGGCACTTGCCTGTAGTCTCAGCTATTCAGAAGGCTGAGCCAGGAGAACTGCTTGAACCCGGGAAGCAGAGGTTGCAGCGCACCGAGATCACGCCACTACACTCCAGCCTGGGTGACAGAGCGAGACCCTGTCTCAAAAAAAAGTGGTGGACGGTGGAACTTTCAAGGCAATGAACTTGGCAATGTCTCCCTTCAAGTCTCAGGAAGACGCCTGGGGAGCCAGGCCCGGGGAAGCACCGAGTCCGATCTGTAAGTCCTTTCTCCAACAGCACTTCACATAAAGAGAAGAAACAGGCTGGGCTGCAGCTCCCGCTGACCCAGCACCGTGGGCCTCAGAATTGCTTTGACATCATGAACTTCCATTCTACAACAGGTACTGCTCCTGGAATAACGATACTTTCACTAAGACTTGTCAACAGACGATAGGTGAATGGTACAAGCAGAGGAAATAAGGAAATAATCCTATCCTGTCTAACTTTATAAATGAGAGACCTGTAGGAGCAGCTTGTTCAATCTGGAGGCATTTCAGTTTTTCCAGTAGACCATCTCCTGTTATGCTCAATGCTGATTCAAATTATCTGACTTCTGGAATAGATATGCTTAGAACTTAACCTTTAAAAGTTATGAGAATACTTTGAAGAAATGAGTCAATACATTAATGACTCAAAAGAGTTAATGAAGCGTCTCAAGTAACATCTAGAAGCTGCTTAGGGATTAAGATATGCTAGTTTTGTTTGTTTGTTTGCAACAGGGTCTTGCTCTGACATCCAGGCAAGTGCAGTGGCAGAATCATGGTTCACTGCAGCCTAGACCTTCCAGGCTCAAGCAATTCTCCTGCCTCAGCCTCCTGAGTACAGGTGCGTGCCACCACGCCCAGCTAATTTTTGTATTTTTTGTAGAGACGGGGTCTCAATATGTTGCCCAGGCTGGTCTTGAACTCCTGGGCTCAAGTGATTCGCCCACTTCAGCCTCCCAAGGTATTGGGACTACAGGCATCAGCCACCAAGGCCAGCCCTGGCTCTTGTTTGTATATCAACAGTTGCACCTTCCAAACGGCAAATGTACTTGGGTTTCCTTCCAGGCATGGTGGTTCACGCCTGTAATCCCAGCACTTTGGGAGGCCGAGGCAGGTAGATCACCTGAGGTCAGGAGTTTGATACCAGCCTGGCCAACTTGGTGAAACCCTCTCTCTACTAAAAATACAAAAATTAGCTAGGCATGGTGGTGTGCACCTGTAGTCCCAGCTACTTGAGACTGGATTCCTGAATCGCTTGAATCCAGGAAGTGGAGGTTGCAGTGAGCCAAGATTGTGCCACTGCACTTCAGCCTGGGCGACAGAGCAAGACTCCATCTCAAAAAATAATAATAATAATAAAATAAATAAATAAGTAAAGAGGGAACAGGCATCAAAACAGTCCCATATCACCTCCAGTTCCATACCTGTGGCATGCAAATATTAAACTCCAAAAGCGTTTTTACTTCCTCTCTCTCCCATTCCTTCTTTACCCAGACACACACACACACATGCATGTATACACATGCATCCATATATAAATACACATGCACACACACCTATCCACACCATACCTTATCTGGTAGGTGTGTGATAAAGTGGTTCTACATAATCAGATAGGATATTCATTGAGATCATTTGATCATTTGATGGGCTAATAGAATAAAGAAAAATATAAGTTTGGATTAAGACATTATTGAAAATAAACATAAACATCGTAGTGAAACCTCAACTTTGGTTTCTAACAATGCTTCCACATTAAAAAAGTCAAGCCATTTATAGCTGGAAAGTAAAATGAATGTGCTATATTTTAAAAATCAATTCATATATATAAATACATACATACATATATATATATAAATACATACATACATATATATATATAAATCTGCCCTCAAAATGGCTAAAATTTAAAGAACTAACAATACCTTATGTTTATGAGAAAGAGAAGCAAGAGAAAATTTCTCATATATTTTCAAGGGGAGTATAGAAAGATACAACCAATTTGGGAAAAAGTCTAGCAGTTTCTTATGAAAGGGAACACTCACCTACCCTATGATCTAGCAATGGCACTCCTAGGTATGTTCTGGAGAGAAATGAAAAATATTGTCCATGGAAGAATTGTCGAAACTGTTTACAGCAACTACAGATAGAACAGCCAAACACTAGAAATAACTTGAGCGCCCAGCAATGGAAGAAAGGGTAAACTGTGAAATATTAATACAGAAGAACGTTATGCAGCAATAAAAAGAAACAAACTACTACTGATACAGTAGTATCAGTACTGAATGATATGGGATAAATGGATGAATCTGGGCCTTTCGTGGTGGCTCACGTATGTAATCCCAGCACTCTGGGGGGCCGAGGCGGGTGGATCCCCTGAGATCAGGAGCTCGAGACCAGCCTGGCAAACATGGTGAAACCCTGTCTCTACTGAAAATACAAAAATTGGCCAGGTGTGGTGGTGGGTACCTGTAATCCCAACTACTCGGGAGGCTGAGGCAGGAGAATCGCTTGAACCTGGGAGGCAGAGATTGCAGTGAGCAGAGATCATGCCACTGCCCTCCAGCCTGGGCAACAGAGTGAGGCTGTCTCAAAAAACAAAAACAAACAAACAAAAAAAGGCCGGGCACAGTGGCTCATGCCTGTAATCCCAGCACTTTGGGAAGCTGAGGCGGGTGGATCACCTGAAGTCAGGAGTTCGAGGCCAGTCTGGCCAGCGTGGGGAAACCCTGTCTCTACTAAAAAATACAAAACATATTAGCCAGGCATGGTGGCGGGCGCCTGTAATCCCAGCTACTCGGGAGGCTGAGGCAGGAGAATGGCGTGAACCCGGGAGGTGGAGCTTGCAGTGGGCCGAGACCACACCATTGCACTCCAGCCTGGGTGACAGAGCGAGACTCCGTCTCAAAATAAATAAATAAATAAATAAACAAACCAAAAATAAATGGATGTATCTCAAAAAATCCATGGTGAATAAAATAAACCAGAGTACCAGAGTACATAATGTCGATTTATATGAAGTTCTAAAAAAGACAGAAAACTAATCTGTAGTAGAAAATAATCAGAACAGTGGTTGCCCTGAAGAGTAGAGGCAGGGATTTACTAGGAAGGGAATGAGGGACCTTTCTGGAATGATGGAAATATTTGGCACCTTGATAGGGTTTTGAGCTGCACATGTGTATGCCTAGGTTAGCACTTAATATTTGTGAATTTCCTGGTATGTAAATTTCCCTAAGAGGAAAAATAAGCATTAAGTAAATATGGAACACTAATTAATGAGATACATGCTGAAGTATTTATTTAGGGGAAAGGGCACTGATGCCTGAGACACACTTTAAAAGGCACAGAATATGATTAATGGATGGATAGAAGGATGAATAAATGAGCAGGTAAGTAATAAGGCAAGCATAATAAAATGTTAATTACAGAGCCTAAGTGATGTGTATGGGTATTCACTGCAAAATTTTTTCCGTTTCTTTGTATGACTGACATTTTCATGAGATAAACTGGAAAAATAAAAACCTATTACGGTCCCATAATACCATCTATCAGTTCAAAATTAGTTTTCTGAGTCTTTGTATAAGCAAAGATTGGAAGTAGAAAGCTTTTTATTTTTTGAGACAAGGTCTTGCTCTGTCACCCAGGCTGGAGTGCACTGACAGGATCATGGCTCACTGCAGTCTCCAACACCTGGGCTTGAGTGATATTGTCGCCTCAGCCTCCCAAGAAGCTGGGACCACAGGTGCCTGCCACCATGCCCAGCTAATTTTTAAATTTTGTGTAGAGACGAGGTCTCCCTATGTTTTCCAGGCTGGTCTTGAACTCCTGGGCTCAAGCGATCCTCCTGCCTCAGCCTCCCAAAGTGTTGGGATTACAGCTGTGAGCCACTGTGCCTGTCTAGAAGCTTTTTTAAAAAGAAAGAAAAATATTAAACTTTTACAAGTTCAAATACCAAATAAATACTGGTATTTCACACTTATTTCAGAGCAAAGAAAGCCCTCACTCTATGCCAAAAGGAGAAAAAAGGCATCTCATTATGCTATATGAATCCAATCATACCTGAATGTTTTACACGTAACCTCATCTTTCCTTTCCCCAACTCACCAGTCGCTGGGTTCAAACATGTTTCTCTTTTTATATAAACAGTTTGCCAAATATTAATGAGCTCTGAACACAGAAGCCAGAAGATTCCCTCAATCCCAGCTAGGTGTAAACCCAAATCCCACTCTGTTCTATTGGACCTCCCTAAGAGCTCATGAGAGTTATTTGTGGGAGCTTCTTATCTCTTCCACACATCTGGATCCCATGCAGTATCAAGTACCAAGCCTCCCTCATAAAAGATGCTCAAGGTTGCTTTTCATGGTTCAAGGGCAAACAGGAACCACACATGGGGTGTTTTCATCTTTGTTCATGAAAATTACCAGGCCCATGAAAAGCCCCTTATTTACATTGGTAAAATGCTATGAGGATCAACATTGTGTGAAATTATAATATAATCCTCTAAGTCATAAAGCAGCACAGTTGGGGGGTGAAGTCCAGGCTGTCTCCTACATAACAGTAGAGTCTTCCAATTAATGTGCAAATTTGGGAAAGTCGTTTAACTTCTTTGCACCTCACAGTCCTCTTCTATAGAGGGAGAATGATATTTACGCTGCATGCGATTGATGTGAAGATTAAATAAGATGATCTGTCAAGCTCCTTTGCATACTGTCTGGCATGTAAGAAGCACCGAGCACATGTTTCCTAATCGTCATTGTTAGTTTTACGTGTCCAGGTGAATGAAGCTGAGAGTGCCTGTCTCTATTACATCAATTTAACATTAAGTAGAGCAGACAAATCAATATTGACAATTCCAAGAATTTAATAAATCACAGTTATCTAAACAAACTTCACTCCTGGGGTCCTAAAGTCAGCATACAAAAACAGCACCACTTTAGATACAGCTTTCAGGATTGCAGAAGCTGCCTTTTTTCCTTGCAATGTGTGTCCATGGTGGGTTCTAAAGTCTCAGGGAGGGAAGGGACAGGGAAGTCACTTGTCCAGAACCTGAGAGGACACCCTCAGCAGTCTTTTTCCTCCTTCTCAACATCCTCAAGGGCAGAGAAATGGGCCTCCCGGTACCCTCTGGCCATTGGACAGAGGGTCATGATCCATCCTCGACATTTTAGCTGGGCAGGCGGAATGAGTCCTCCAAAGACATCCAAGCCCTCATCCCCGGAACCTGTCAATACATTGTGTTAAAAAGGGACTGCAGAGGTCATTAGGGCTATGGATTTCAAGATAAAGAGATTATCCTGAATGAGCCCCTAGAAGCAGGGAACTTTCTCCAGCTGTAGCCAGAGAGACGTCGCAGAAGGGTAAGTCAGAGCAACTGGACATGCAGGAGGCCTGGATGCACTCTTGCTGACTTGGCAATGGAAGGGGCAAGGTGACAAGGAATGCAGGTGGCCTCACGGAGGTCAGAAAGGCTTCTGGCCAGGACAACAAAACAACAGGGACTCCATCCTGAATTGGCAAGGAACTGAATTCCAAAAAGGAACATGGCCCAGCTGTTTGTTTGTTTGTTTGTTTGTTTTGAGACAGGGTCTTGTTCTGTTGCTCCGGTTGGAGTGCGGTTATGTGATCACGGCTCACTGCAGCTTCAACCTCCCAGGCTCAAGCGATCCTTCCACCTCAGCCTCTTAAGCAGCTGGGACCACAGTGTACCACCATGCCTGGCTAATTTTTTTTATTATTTGTAGAGATGAAGTCCTGCTATGTTGCACAGGGTAGTCTTAAATGCCTGGGCTCAAGCAATCTCCCCACCTTGGCTTCCCAAAGTTTTGAGATTGTAGGTGTGAGCCACCACACCTGGGCCCGATGCTTTGCTTTTGACCTTGTGAGACCCCAACCAGAGACTTGACTGAACCATGCTGTCTATACCCAAGCTTCTGACCCATGTAAATGGTGAGACAATAATGGGTGGCTAAATTGCTCCATTTGTGGCAGTTCGTTAAGGTAGAAATGGAAAACTAATGCAATGAAAATATCAGAAGTTCCTTAACATGCTTCCCTTTTTTCCCTCTAGATCAAATACTCTCTGGAATTGAACCATCTTTCACAAACAAGACTTTGAGGCTACCCCTTTAGGATTTCCTCCTTCTGATTAGTTCAGTTTAGCTATTCTAGGGCTGAGCTTGTCATGACCAGGGACAATGAGGTTTCTGTCACAGGGATGGGTGGGCACAGAGGAGTGCCAGTCCAGCCCAACACCAGCAAACATCATGAATGGGTAACAGTTATCACACGGATAAGCAGAGCATACAATGCCAGGAGACCTGATTTCAAGCTGTCCTTTGAATGTGTCTGGCATCTAGGGTCAACCACAATCATCTGAGTATAGTCAGATCAGCTCATGATACAGTAAGATTATGCCCCAATCTGCTTTCTAGAAACCACGCCTTCATCAAGGCAGCCCAACATCACCCTGGCGGTTCTGGTAGCCAAGCCACACTTTCGACTTTTTACTTGATTAATGTTACAGTCACCTAAAAGATCTAAGTATTTTTCCCATGGATTAAAATAAAATTAACCCATTCTATGCTGCAACTTTGTAACTGCCATAGTTACTGGCTACAGAGGGTTATTATTTTTTCGATCTAAATTTGGACCTAACTTTTGCAAGCCCTCGTCTTACCTTTATAAGAAACTATAATCAATGTCGTCACCTAATCATTAATAAAATATGATTAATTATAAAGGATAAATTATTAATAATTAAACAACTAAGATAATAGCAAATGTTACTTATAATAAAATGTTAAGATACAAAGTACACGTGCTTTAATTCTCTCTGTTAATATACATTTCCCTTAGAATACACTTCTTATTGACTCCTCTGTGAGGGAAGAGATTTAAGCCATAATTGTGGTGCAAGGAAACCACACCACAACCACACTCAAATAATGTCAGAATAAAGAGGAAGAGAGTGAACGTCATTCATTGAGACTGGGCTACTAATGGCTGTTCTTGAAATCAGAAGTCTTGCCAAGGGTAGCAACTCATGCCTGTAATCCCAGCATTTTGGGAGGCTGAGGTGGGTGGATCACCTGAGGTCAGAAGTTCGAGACCAGCCTGGCCAACATGGTAAAACCCTGTCTCTACAAAAAATACAAAAACTAGCCAGGTGAGGTGGTGTGCACCTGTAGTCCCAGCTACTCGGGAGGGTGAGGCAAGAGAATCGCTTGAACTCAGGAGGCAGAGGCTGCAGTGAGCCGAGATTATGCCATGGCACTCCAGCCTGGGTGACAGAGCAAGACTCTGTCTCAAAAAAAAATCATAAATCTTACTGATAGGACTCACTTTATGGATTGGGGACAACTTTAATAAAAGTGTTCAGTGCTCTTCATTCAGCTCTGCCAAAATGACATTAAAACTCTTTCTCCCAATACAAATTCAATCATTTTCCTATTCAAATTCTGAGCTCAAGATAGTACATCTAAGAAAATAAAAATGTTCATCTGACTTGGAACTACCTGGGCCTTTTCTCATTAAGTGTATGCCTCTCTATCCTTGTGGGAGTACAGATTAAAACAAGGCAAACAAAATTATAAAACAATCTCTGGTAAACTCAATTTTCACTTCCAAGGTATCTTTTCCTAAGCTAACTGCTACTTCCCAAAATTCCAAAAGATCTTGCTAGTTCTCACATTTGAGTGTCCTTATATATTTCATATAAAAGTAGGAGTTCAAAATATGGATGAACAGATGAAATCCACATTTGATCATCTTATCTACCCATCCAGTTTAAGGAATATAAGACAGCTTGACCTAATTCTTCCATCGTTATTATTCAGAGATTCCCAGTGACGATGAAAATCACTAAAGCACCAGTATTGTCCAGGCTGTGCTGTAGCTACTTTAAATATTTGATCAACTAGGGCCTCTTCTACTTAATTTGCAACTTTTAGGAATCCTGAGTGATGGAATACACACTTATGCTCCTTGAAATAAGACTTCTGTGTCCCACCGTGCATAACTCCTTGAAATATCTAGAAATCAACATTACTGGCCGCCATGGTGGCTCACACCTATAATCCCAGCACTTTGGGAGGCTGAGGTGGGTGGGTCACCTGAGGTCAGGAGTTTGAGACCAGGCTGGCCCGTCTCTACTAAATCTGAGATGGGGTGAAACCCCATCTCTACTAAAAATACAAAAATTAGCCAGGAGTGGTGGCATGTGCCTATAATCCCAGCTACTGGGGAGGCTGAGGCAGGGGAATCTCTTGAACCCAGGAGGCAGAGGTTGCAGTGAGCTGAGAGGGTGCCACTGCACTCCAGCCTAGGCGACAGAGCGAGACTCTGTCTCAAAAACAAAAACAAAAACAAAACATTACCAACAACCAGTAGCTGAACTTGTTTTTAGTCATACGAGAGTTAGTGGGTTTCATCTGAATCAAGAGACTCATGCCTAATTACATAAAAACTACCATCTAGATGTCCTTCTCACTTTAGGCATTTATTTTTCCACTTATTTTCCAATAGGATTGTAAACTTTCCGAGGTGAGAATTGCAAAATAATCAAGCTTATGCAAAAAATATAATGCCCCTCCCCGACAGACCACCTCTTTTTGTCCAATAAGTATTTAGCACACTGTCTTCATACAGCAGATGCTAAGATTTAGGAACTTGATTTCAAGAGCAGAAAACAGGTCAGCTACAGATGAAGGAAGTGAGGGTGTAGAGCAACTATGGAAAGGAGGATAAAGGAAACGCTTTAGAGGAGACGATTTGAACTGGGAAGAGCAGGAGACAGTGGGAAAGGCATTCAAAGACAGGCATGGAGGTCGTAAAGGCCGGGCTTAGTCATCCAGGCTTCACACTTCGGGCAAAAGGGACATACTTCGCATTATTCTGCAGGACAGGAATGTGAATTAAATGGTGCTTGAAGACAGACAACATGGAAGAGGGTTTTGAGTTGAAAGGACAAATTAAAACTGAGATGAAGACGATGCTGTCTTTAGCAAGGACCCAAGAGGGCTAAGGTAGACATGGAGTGGAAATCAGCAGAAATGAATGAATACTATGTCTAAGCTATGAGAGAGAGACAAAGATGCTACCTTAACCTGTGGCAAGGTCATCGGCCTTAAAATAACTGAATGATTCACTCCCTTCCTCCATTATTTATCTACCTTTTGGCCAAAGCCCAGAAATCGAGAAGGTTCAAGCTTCTCTGCAGCTTTAAGTTCAGTTCCTTGGCAGGAGACTGATGGCAGGACACTTCATCACCCTTCTCCTTCCCCTAGACATGAGGTTGGATGGAGTCCCATATGACTCCACCAAGCCATCAGTGACCCCTTCAGCTTCTGTTTGAGACCCTGCCCAAATGTCACCTGTCTCCCCTCTTTGGGGCCCACTGAACTGGATTCTTTTGCTCCCAAATGAGATGGAAATTGCAGGAAAGCAAGCAACTCCTCCCTCCCTCTATTCCCCAACAGATGCAGTGGCAAGGCTTGTCGAGGTGTTTCCACAGCGCTCCTCCCTCATCAGCATGGGGGCTTCTTGGATTGTTCAAATGGCCCTGGGCCCTGGAGCTGGTGGGGTGCATTTGCCTGAGAGAGGCAGAGAAATCTCAGAGGGGCCATGCTGAGCCCTGGGGAGGACAACTGGGAGGCCATTCAAGTCGGGTGGGTGGAGGGTGGGGGGGCGGTCCCTAACATTTCATTACATAAAGGCAGAAGGGACTATGGCGACATCCCATCCCAGCTTTCTTTTACTTCATTTGGTTACTAACAGATATGTTTCAACAAAAATTAGAGCACAGTCAAAAAGCCAGCAAGACTTCTGAAAGTGGCTTTTGGCAGGGGTTTCAGAGGCTACATGTTCTCCCTGCAGGTGTGAATCCCAGCTCTGGAAGGAACACAGCACACTCAATGGACCCGAACATAAGAAAAGCCACAGCCCACTTTTCCTTCCTCATCTGGAAGGAAAACAGTTATTCTGGTGATGGTGGGTGTCCTTGAGGTGGTCCCCAAGGATCCCTGTCATGGCTCCAGTTTGGTGGAATTCTGGTAAACCGATGCAAAAACTCCATGCGTTTTTCCAAATGTAACTTCAGTAGCTCAGTTCCAAAAAGCAGTCCATGCTGCACCACCATCCTGTGTGGGCGAATCTCTATTCACAGTTCTTAGGGGTTAGGGTCTGTGTTAGTTCCCTATTGCTGCCATAACAAATTATCAAACAACTCAGTGGTTGGAAACAACACACACTTATAATCTTACAGTTCTGGAGGTCGGAAGTCCAAAATCAGTTTCACTGGGCTAAAGCCAAGATGTCAGCAAGCCTGCATTCCTTCTGGAGGCTCTAGGGTAAAATTGGTTTCCTTGCCTTTTCTGGCTTCTAGAAGCCACCTGCATTCCTTGGCTCCTGGCCCCTTTCTCTATCTGCAAAGGTATCTGTGTAGCGTCTTCATTCTCTCCCTGACTTGGACCCCTTGCTTCTATTAGCACATCTCCTCTGACTTTGACCTTCCTGCTTCCCTCTTGTGATTGATTACAATGGGCCCAGCTGGATGATAATTCAGACTAATCTTCCCATCTCAAGATCCTTAACAGAATCACTTGGCCACAGTCTTTAGCCATGTAAAGTCACATACGGTTCCAGGGATCAGAATATGGACATTCTGGGGGCCATTATTCTACTACCACAACGTCTGCATGGCCAGAGAGCACAATTACCTTAGGTCACCTGGCCTGGGTTTCCTCATCTCCAGAACAAGGAACATCAACTTTATCCCCAAGACTCTTCGGGCACTAACATTTGCTACGTAAATTTATCTATGAGATTCCTACTGCATGGATTTTAAGGGAGGGAAGGGACGTAAGCAGACACTTAGATTTTGAGTCTGGTTAACAGAGAAGCAGGAATGCCGGGCTGCAGAAGGAAGGACAAAGAGTTTGAGGTAAACCTGGAGTGCTGAAACGGAGATGTCTACCAGTTTGCTGGACATAAAGAGATGGAGCTATGACATCAACTAAAGATGCGAGAGCCTGAGTCGTCCATCCAGAGGGGCTTAATTCCCAGAATTTGCAAAGATTAATAAGTTCTGAAAATGGTAAATGAAAGGAAGAAAAGGACTGGGCATGGTGGCTCCCACCTGTAATCCCAGTACTTTGGGAGGCCTAGGTGGGAGGACTGTCTGAGGTCAGAAGTTCAAGACCAGCTTGGCCAACATGGTGAAACCCCATCTCTACTAAAACACAAAAATTAGCCAGGTGTGGTAGCATGCACCTGTAATCCCAGCTACTAGGGAGGCCGAGGCAGGAGAATCTTTTCAACCTGGGAGGCAGAGGTTGCAGTGAGCTGAGATTGCACCACTGCACTCCAGCCTGGGGGACACAGTGAGACTCTGTTAAAAAAAAAAAAAGAGAGAGAAATGCAGACAGACAGAAAGAAAGAAAGATGAGCAAATGTTTGCAGACAGACTTGAATCTAAAAGTAAGAGGAGCTGGCGAATGAAACAGAGGCTTGATCAGAGAAGGTGGAGTCATCTTACATATGCTGACTCAGCTGTTTAGGGGAACTTAACCTGAAGCCCTTTCTAAAATGGTTAGTTGCCTCAAATTTTGCCTATTTACAAGTTAGATTTATTTTTTAAATAATGGTTTTCTTAATTCAGGGTATGCTATTGGGTTACACTGTAGAATTTCTTTTTTAAGAAACAGTTATTTCATACAATTCTTTGGTCGAGTACTGAAATGTAGTTTCATGTATTTATTTATTTGAGATGGAGTTTCATTCTGTTGCCCAGGCTGGAGTGCAGTGGTGCGATCTCTACTCACTACAACCTCTGCCTCCCGAGTTCAAGCAATTGTCCTGCCTTAGCCTCCCGAGTAGCTGGGATTACAGGCGCCCGCCACCATGCTTGGCTACGTTTTGTATTTTTAATAGAGATGAGGTTTCACCACGTTGGCCAGGCTGGTCTTGAACTTCTGACCTCAAGCGATCCACCCACCTCAGCTTCCCAAAGTGCTGGGATTACAGGCATAAGCCACTGTGCCTGGCCTGAAACTTAATTTCTAAAATACATTTAAAATATATTCAGTTCTGTGTTTCCTGGAGTTGAATAATTTAGCTAAAACTGCCGTCTTTATGAGTCCTAAAGTCATATTTGGTGATATTAAGTGAAAATGATTTGTGTAAAATCTTCTCTATAACTTGATCAAACTATAACAGCATTACTGGTATGTATAATTTCCACTAAACATGTTTCACAAAAAGTACACAAGGTATTTGTCATCACAGGACAAACTCCTCTCTCTAGATCTCTGAAATATGCTTTATTCAATTTTTTCTTCATGATACAGCATTATACATACCTGCTGTCTATCCAGTTTATTTCCATATGTTTTCTTGGTAAGCAGTGTTTACTAAAAGTAGGAAATTAATATTTATTAAAAATTCCAAATTAGTATTTCCCAGCAATAATAAAGATGCACAGTTAGATTTACTGAGATGTCAGTAATTTGGTTAAAATAAAGAATTGATTAAAACTGAGAAAGTGGCTGGGTGCAGTGGCTCATGCCTGTAATCCCAGCACTTTGGGAGGCTGAGGCAGGCGGATCACAAGGTCAGGAGATCGAGATCATTCTGGCTAACACGATGAAACCCCTTATCTACTAAAAATACAAAAAAAATAGCCAGGCGTGGTGGCGGGCACCTGTAGTCCCAGCTACTCAGGAGACTGAGGCAGGAGAATGGCGTGAACCTGGGAGGCGGAGCTTGCAGTGAGTTGAGATCACGCCACTGCACTCCAGCCTGGGCGACAGAGCGAGACTCCATCTCAAAACAAACAAACAAACAAACAAACACACACACAAAAACTGAGAAAGTATTAATACTTGAAAGCTATTTGTTTAGAAATGCATGCACTATTTTCCTTCTTTTGGTTTGGATGTTAAGGTAACAACCTATAAGTTACAAAGTATTATAGACAAGTACAAATAAGATATAAAAATAATTCATGAAGTCATTTCAAAGACTTTTCCAGAAATTCCCTAGATGTTACTGTTGCTCCTGCATAAAGCCCTCACACCTGGCTTGCAAGGAAGCCCAGCGGCCTCTGTGAGTCCAGCTCCTGCGGTTTCCCAGGATGTGAGCCCATGAGTTTTATTTAGAAGTCATGCTCTTAATACAATGTCACCGTAAGTTAGGCTTGTTGGATGATCCTCCTGATACCTTACATGGCTTCGTGGTCTTTCAACAGATCCCAGTGTTCTAATAACTGAAGTTTGAGTTTGGCAAAGAATAGACCTCTTAGAGAAGAGACAAAGCCAATCATTGTCTTCAAATGTTATAACAGATTGCAGCTTTTCTGAGATGAGCAAAAAGCTAGCGCATCATCGCAAAACACCTTGCACTTTTCAGCACTGGGTTTGCCTCAAACACCTGCTAGATATCCAGCGACAAAATAAACATCATCCAATAAGATGTCTGAGCATGAAGTTCTTAACCTAGCTCTGACCTTCCTTTTGGCACATAAATAAGAGTGCTGGGCTTCAAAAACACATCCCTAAAGAGTACATCTGCACAGCTTACTGCTCCTCCAGGACAGCTCTCTCTATTGAACCCAGCCTCATTACAGTTTTGCAAAAGAGGTGAAGAAAATCAAAATGGGTCAATACTTTTGAACAACAATTTTGAAAAATTCCCAGAAAATAGATTCGATACTATAAATGCTCCAGAGCAACTGAGAGGAAACACTTAATAAAAATAGTCATAGTCTAGAGCTAGTTCAAATTCATGATAAACAAAGCCAACCCTTACCGTGACAACTGACTGTGGCATTGGAAATCACTTTGCCAATTCGAAGCAGCTACGGGAAGAGAGTCTGAAGCCAAGCCTCCAATTTTATCTTGAATATATAAAAAGCAAAGTAATGCCAAGAAATTCTGCAGATGCTAGTTTCATCAGATGACATAAAGACTCATTTAATCAAAAAGGTGTCATTTAGTTCTAGCAATCTAGTTGGACTACTACAGTATATGATTTCCGTCTGTTTGAGGTCTCTAAGCAGTTTTACCAAAGTAATTGCCAAATCCTGTTGGTGCATAATATGTATGTGCAATGCTTGTTCAAAGAATGATTCAAACAACAGATTCTACATAAAAGCAAGATTCTTACAAATTAGCTTTTGGGGAAGGTAAACATTGAACTTTTCTTCTTAAAATGCAAGCCAATGATGATCACTAAAGGTTGCGTTATGGTGTAGGTATTAGCTATGGTTGATGCTTACCTACTCAGCACCATCTGAGCACCAACTGTATGCATAACAACCTACAACCCACTGTGGGAAATGCAAAGTGAAATCAGATGCAGCATTTGTCTTCATCGTGTACATGATCCAGGAAAGCAGAGAACACATGAATTTTAAAACTACGTCATACTACAGCAAGTGAACATTAAGATGCTTTGAAGAACTCAGTGAGTTGGGACTGACCTTCTAATGTCAAAGGAGAAATTGTCCATTCCCTTAAAAATGCTGCTAGCTCAAAATCCAAATGCCAGGTAGTGAGACCTGATTTCTGAAAGAGTTCCTGGGCTCAAGGCTTTAAAAAGCCATCCTTACAGTAGATAACAACAAAGGAAGTAATCCAAGGGGTAAACTATGCCAAGATACTTGATCTCCCACTCCAACCATACCCTAAACTAAGCCACTGCTAGCCATGGCAGAAACCTCTTCTCATGTTGACCATTTCCCTCCCATTTCGCATAATATTCCATTCCTGAGAGGCGGATTTTTAGCAGCAAGAGCTGGGTAAAACGTGGTCTTAGACCTAAACCTGTTATATATATATTGAATATATATATATATATATATTGAAGACATGCCTTCCTTTCTCTAATTCAGAAGTGCATGAATTTAATATTTCCATATATTGGTATTTCAAGTGCAAAAGGAAAAATTCAACTTGCTCTTTAAAATTAACGGCCTCGCTGAAGTGCAAATATCATTCTCTAAAATAGCTGATTCAAAAAAGCAGTAGGGTATTAATAAAAGAAGCTGCAATGCAACACTGATGATCTAATGTCCTAAACATTCGTTTCCTACACGAAGAGACATATAGGTCTTTTTGTATTTTGTAGCTGTCCGCTCTTCCATGATATGCATTACTAAAATTATACACAATTCATAACGGTCATATTCTACCATGGCCATAGAAGCAGCAATGCATTTAAGATATACCAGGAAATGATACTGCAAGTGCCAGAATATGAAAACCTTCAACTCAACATGTAGGCAACAAACTCAACCCAACAGAGTGTTGGCAGAGCCTTTCCTCCCCGTAGCAACATCGTGGTGGAAGCCCGGGCGTCTCTGCTCCCAGGCACCCTGAGCATGTTAGCCGAGGAAAGGGGGTTCCAGCAAGGAGACCCTCGGATGCAGCACTCCTCGTTTCTTTGGCCTGCAGGGCCAACTTTGCAGGACACACACCCTTCTGAGGGGACAGGCCTCGGGCTCGGAATCCCGGGGTTCTGCAGGGCTGCAGGGAGCTCCCTCGCAGAGACCTGAGCCCCCGGCAAGAGTCCAGGCAGCGGTGCCCTGGGTGAATGCAGAGGCTCATCTGCGGGCCTCAGTGGCCCTTTTGAAAACGCCAGCAACAGAGGAGTCCTCGACGCTGTCCCCACAAAAATGTGCCAAGCAAGCCTCAGGGTGGGTGTGGGGGACTCCCCTCAAAAAACGCTGATTTTAAAAACAAAAGACAGGCTCGTGGCCATTCTCAGAGGCGACCACGTTACTCCCAGGGCTGGAAAGCAGATTTGTGGAGGCCAAAGACGAGACAAAAGGCACGAGCTGGCGACAAACTGATCTGGAAAGGATTTTTCTTTTTTTTTTTTTTTTTTTTGGTGAGCGATGAGGGCCTCCCAGTTCAATTCTTTCTTCCCTTACAGAGAAGACTCATGGGCCGCTGAGCAAATCCCTTATGGTCTGGAAGAGACGTCAGATAGGCAGGGGGAGAGAACCCCCCAAACTTTCCCAAACTGCGGCAGGCTAGTGGCTAGTGGCGGCAGCGGACCTCGGGGCCCCGGGACACAGGGGGCACCCCGGGGCGTCAGCCACCCCCTCCCGCCACAACAAAAGGCCCCAGCGCAGCCCAGGAGCTGGGACTTCCCAGACCCGAGCCCGGCGTGGGGAGCCGGGAGCGCGATCGGGCGGCGCGCCCTGGGCGGCCCCTCTGTCCGCGGCGACATGGGAGACAGAGCCGCGTGTCCGAGGCGCGGCATAAAGGGGACCCCCGGGCGCATCCAGACGAGCCCCCGCCGCAGCGGCGACAGCAGCTGGAGCTGCCCGCGCCCCCGCCCGACCCAGCCCCCGATCCCCGGCCCCCGAAGCCTCCGCCCGGGTCACCCCGCGTCGCCGGCCCGCGCCGCCCCCTCGGGAGCGCGTTGCGGGTGCTGCAGGCCCGGAGGCTCCCGATGCGGCTCGGGCTGCGTCGCCACCACGCGGCCCGGGACCCTCCCGCCGCCGCCGCCGCCGCCGCCGCCTCCGCGCCAGGCCCGGCGCGACACAAAGCCCCCGGCCCCGCCGCCGCCCACTGACCTTGGGCTCCGGCGCCGGGCTCCCGCAGCGTCTTGGTCACCGCCTTCCAGACGTGGCAGCCCAGCAGGCACAGCAGCAGCGTCGCGGACCTGCTCATCTCCGCCGCGGGGCCGGCGGCGGCTCGGGCTCGCCGAGAGCGGGCCGGGCGGCGGCGCGTCACGGGCGGCCGGGCGCCGCGCCCCCCTCCATGTCGCTGGCTCCGCGCGCCGGGCCCGCCGCCCGATTGGCCCGGCCCCGCCGCCCCGGCCGCTCCCTCCCGCGCCCCGCGCCGGGTTTCCCCGAAGAGCCGCGGCGGCGGCGGCGGCGGCGGCTGCTGCTGCTCCGCCAGCTCCTTAACCCCTTCCTGCCTCGCCCGCCGCCGCCGCCGCTGCCCGCGCCCAGGCCCCGGGCCCGTGGTGCCACCTGGCGGCTGCGGCGCCGAGGGCGCCCCCGCCCGGCGCCGCTGCGTCGCGCCCCCAGCCCGACCCCCGGCGACACTGCCCCGGCGCGCCCCATCCCCGCAGCCCCGCAGAAGAGCCAGACCTGCCTTTCAGGGCGGAGCCCTTTTCATCACACCAGGTCACCCAAGGGGCCGCAGGAGACATTGTATCTGGGTGTGACCCCCCCACCAGGTGCCATCCTAATGTAGTTGTGTCCCCCAACGTAGATTTCACACCCAGTGTTAAAGATCCGCAAAAACACTCCCCAAGCCAGTATAGACTGCAGTAGGCCTGCAGTACCTACGTGTTGGCGGGTGGACAGCTTCAGGAGGAATGGTACTTGGATGGTTCTAGGGGTTAGGGTGGGGAGGAAATCCACATCTTTTGAGGCCCTAGGTGCTTTAAAACTTTCTGTCCTATTAAAGAAAAAAGACTATTCCATGACACGTGTGAAAGCACAGCAAAGAAGACCCTCTTTGGAACCATCGCAATAGGTATAAGCCCTACCATGGGATTCTGCAGTCGGGGAGAAAGGTTGGGTTCAACTCTGAATACAGCAGGAACAAGTGGGGATTTATAACCGAGGACCAGGGTGGGATGCAGGGAATGAAAAATTATAAGAGGAAACATCAGGGGGAAGGGGGATTCTTGAAAGTCAGACATCCCCTGGCAGGGCTGGGCAGGACAGGGCGGATGGGGAAGCTGATCAGATATCCAGGGTGGAGGGTTCTTGGTAAACTGACTTAGCAGGGTTCTTCCTGAAAGCAGATTTTACAAGGAAGGGCACAACTGAGCCTAGAAGAAGGTTCCGGAGCCTGACTGTAGTTCGGTCAAGCAGAGACTCTTTGTCCATCTTCACAATACATGATCTAAGAGGTAGTTAGCATTATCCCCCCCATTCACAGATGAGAAAAGAGGCTAAAGAGGGTTAAGGAATTTGTCCAAAAGTGCATACCTGGTCAGTGGCAGAGCCAAAATTCTAATAAAACAGTCAGTCTGACCCCAAAATTGAAACTCTTCACAAAAACCTCCAGACTTGGCTGGGTGTGATGGTTCATGCCTATAATCCCAACACTTTGGGAGGCTGAGGTAGGTGGATGGCCTGAGTTCAGGAGTTAAGAGACCAGCTGGGCCAACATGGTGAAACCCTGTCTCTACCAAAAATACAAAAAAATTAACCAGGCATAGTGGCCCATGCCTGTGGTCCCAACTACTCAGGAGGCTGAGGTGGGAGGATCGCTTGAACCTGGGAGTGGGGAGGTTGCAGTGAGCCAAGATCGTGCCACTGCACTCCAGCCTGGATGACAGACTGAGACCCCGTCTCAAAAAAAAAAAAAAAAAAAAATCAAAAAATAAAACCACCAAAAAAACCACACACAAAACAAAACCAAACCTCTAGACTTTCCTTGAGCCTAGGGACCCCCTCCATTCCAACCTCAACTTTTCTTTCTCTCAACCCACTCCTGTCGGTATGCCTTCCACACAACCTTCACCTCCACTTGTCCCTCTCCACCTTCTCTTCCAACTAGCACTGCGGTGACCTTCCGACTTCCACTGGGGACCTAGGAAAATCCACTCCAGACCCATCATCCACCCCACACTGCTTCCAGAACACCAGGCCAGAAGGAGGGTTATTACTGTAATTTCATTAATTGAGCATTTAGACATGGCAGGCACCGTACCAAAAAAAGAATGAAGGATGGCACTTGCCCAGTTGGCTTATAAAAGACAAATGACTGTGAGACATGAGAAAAACTAGGACGTACAGAAGCCCATATGGGTTTTATAGTCACCCTTAGGACCAATGCTGCAATTTGCGCAAATCACGCACCTGCACAGGGTGGCAGGTAGTCAGGAAGGCAGAAAGAAATAGGGACTGCTGGATTCCCTCCTTCTTCTGATTCCTGCATCTAAGCCTAATATATGGCATCAAAGTTCCTAATATATGGCACTCACTGAACTGGAGCTATTTCCTCATAACAACTTATTTGGTAGGTATCATTGTTTCCATTTCACAGATGAACAAACCGAGGCTTGGTGCCATTAAACAACTTGCCCACAATACAAAGATCTGATAAGTGTAAATTCCCTATACCATGTTACTTCTGAGAATAAATTTTATGCAAATGATTCAAATTACCTCCAGGAGTGTCCAAATTGTTTGAACCTGCTCTAATCCCAGTGAAGTGCAAATCTAGTGAATACTATGGTGCCAATGTTCATTTCCTGGCATTGACAGTGTACTACAGTTATATAAGATGTTACAATTGGGGGAAGCTGGGAGAAGGATAGATGTGACCTCTCTGTACTATTTTTGTAACTTTTTATGAGTCTATAATTATTTCAGATGGAAATATTTAAAATAGAAAAAAAATCCCATTCTATGCCATTTTTCTAAGTCTTATTGTTCACTCAAAACACTGGTGTTTGTGATCTTAGTATAGAGTTCCAGAATGTTTCAGGGTGGAAGAAATCTTAATAAACTGAATCAAGTTGGGTTCACAATCTTAACTGTATCAAGCTTGTCCAACCTGCCTTATTTTGTTGTTGTTGTTGCTGTTGTGTTTTTAGACTTTTAGCAGCCTAAAGCCATCGTTTTCAGTTTCCATCTCTAGTGATAAGTGGAAAAGAGGGATGAGGAAGGGGCTTTACTGGCTCAACCAAAAATAGAAATGAAGAACCCATGACTGTATTCTCTCCCTTGGACACCCCTGCGAGACGCTCAGGTCTGATGGAGGTGGTTGTTATTATCGTGTATAACAATACTTTCCAGGACGAATTGGAACTTTAGGAGAAGTTTATGTACCCTCATAGCAACACTGAGTCTTGTCTAAATAGTTTCAGAAACACCGCTGCCATCCCATTTTGCAGATGCCCTTGTGAAAGAGAAAGAGGTTAAACAATTTGCATAGTACATTCTGCAGGCCAGTCTCAAAGCCAAAAACAGGGCTGGGGCCCCAAAGAGTATTATCTCATCACCCGGGTATTTTCCAGTTACCTGGGTGGGAGGCTGTAAGGAACACAGATTCTGCTACATCACTCAAATTAACATACTTGCATATCATGTAGCCAGAATTATGTAAGAATTAAATAATCACACTTATCCTTTACAGGAATAAAAAATATGATTTACCTTTTCTCATGTTCCGATCATGATCATCAGACACCCACTCAGTAACTAAGGGAAGAAAATTACTTGTGGAGGAGTATTTGCAGAACAATGGAAGTTAGAAGTGTTCTTTCCCTGTAGAACTTTTCCTGTTGCTCTTACTAAAATCTCACATTGTTTGACTAGAGATGAATTATGACTGTACTTATTTGAAATTGCTTAGAAGTTGCTTGACTGTGCAGCATTTGATTTCAATTTTCCAGGCCTGTGCCAAAAAAAAAGAAAGAAAAAAAGAAAAAAAGTCATGCCACATACAGAACTTTTCCTGTCTGAATTTTCCAGAGACCTTGATTTCAGGGGCTCTGTGTCAAGGTTTCTTAGCCCAAGATTACTTATTCTATTGAAATATTTCCTGATGTTGGTCCCACGTGGTGGATTTTTTTTTTTTTTTTTTTGAGACAGAGTTTCACTCTTTTTGCCCAGGCTGGAGTACAATGGCGCAATCTCAGCTCACTGCAACCTTCGCCTCCTGGGTTCAAGCGATTCTCCTGCATCAGCCTCCTGAGTAGCTGGGATTACAGGCATGCCCCACCACGCCCAGCTAATTTTGTATTTTTAGTAGAGATGAGGTTTCTTCATGTTAGTCAGGCTGGTCTTGAACTCCCAACCTCAGGTGATCTGCCCGCCTTGGCCTCCCAAAGTGCTGGGATTACAGACGTAAGCCACTGCGTCCGACCCCGTGGTGGAATTTTAATGGTCTGGGTTTGCTTGGAGAGGTATTGTTCTTCCTTCTTCCCTTTCTTCCCCTAGCCCCTGCCCCCCAGTCTGCCCCTGAGTAAGAAGCTTCCAGTAAACAACAGAATTTTATGAGATTGTACAGGTCAGGAAGTATGTCATGGTCATTGCTACTTCTGTTTGCTGGCACTTTTATTTAAGTTAGATAGAATGTAGCCACAGATAGAAATTGTTAACAGCCCAGCATTTTTTTTGAAGCTATCCGCATCTATATAAAAAAGAAAAAACAAACCAAAACATAAGGTAACAAAATTACTGTCAAGGGACTGATGTGTTTAAGTGATCCCCAACCCTCCTCTTTTTCCTCTGTGTGGTTCAGCCCTCATATTTCAATCTCTGTGACTTTCCAACAAGCTCTTTCTTTCAACAGCATCTTTCGGTTTTTTTCCTACAACCTCACTTCTCGCGTACAGGTTTTCAGCCAGGAGAGGCTTTTCTTTTTTTTTTTTTTTTTTTTTTTTTTTTGAGGCGGAGTCTCGCTGTCACCCAGGCTGAAGTGCAGTGTCGTGATTTCGGCTCACTGCAACCTCCACCTCCCAGGTTCAAGAGATTCTCCTGCCTCAGCCTTTCTAGTAGCTGGGATTACAGGCGTGTACCACCACACCCAGCTAATTTTTATGTATTTTTAGTAGAGACGGGATTTCCCCATATTGGCCAGGCTGGTCTCGAACTCCTGACTTCAAGTGATCCACCCGCCTCAGCCTCCCAAAGTGCTAGGATTACAGGCGTGAGCCACCTTGCCCGTCCCAGGAGAGGCATCTTATTCAGGAAATAATTCTGAATTATTTGGGAGATGCTGAGAGTGTACATCGGCCTGCAGGATTGAATTTCAGATTACGCCATTTGGTCCTGTGATTTCAGATCCCCTGTCTTAGAGTTCTACTTTGTGCATCCTCTGGTAACTCAAGGAGTCTGGGACACATCCCAGGCACTTGATCAATAGGTTTGGCTTTTGGAAAGAGTATTCAGAGGCTAGTGGCTAATGGAGAATTGAGTTGCTCAGCAATTCATTTTAAGCCAATATGCTCTTTTGGCAAGCCCATTCCATTAGAGCAAGCAGAAGTTTCCAGCTCTATTCTTTGCTGATCCATTGAATTTTTTATTTATTTTTTATTTTATTTTTTGAGACAACGTCTTGTTCTGTCGCCCAGGCTGGAGTACAGTGGCGCAATCTCGGCTCATCGCAACCTCTGTTTCCTGGGCTCAAGCGATTCTCCTGCCTCAGTCTCCTAAGTAACTGGGATTACAGGCACGTGCCACCATGCCTGGCTAATTTTTTGTAATTTTAGTAGAGCTAGGGTTTCACCATGTTGGTCAGGCTGGTCTTGAACTCCTGACCTCAAGTGATCCACCCACTTCGGCCTCCCAAAGTGCTGGGATTACAGGTGTGAGCCACCATGCCCAGCCAGTTAACCCACTGAATTTACTGTCATATAGACAAAAAGTGCAAGGCAAGACGTAAGCGTCCATGTTCTTGCTGGAAAATGTCTATCTGTGACTACTGCGTCTACCTTCAGAAATGCACAAAGGGACATGAAGCAAGGTAGAGAAAAGACAGGGTTTTTTTTTGTTTTTGTTTCTGTTTTTTTTTTTTTTTTTCATAGAAAACTTAAAAGAGTTAGGGAAAAGAGAGGAAGACAATGGAGAAAATGGAGAAGGTAATTAGCATCAGTTGAACTTTTGTTGTGTGGCTGACTATACCTCAACCAGGGGGAAAGTTTCAGAAATTCCGCTGATCTCCGATTAATTTTCAAGTTCGATCTTTGCATGGTACTTTATTTTCTTTTCCTTTCATTTCTTCTGTTTAATTATAATACTTTTGACTCAAAGCTGCCTACTGTCAGAACCTTTCTCTTAATATCCTAGTCCTGTTTAATTACTAAACAAAGAGAATCCTTCATTGGAGTCCCCATAAAAATGGAAATGGGGGTGAACAGATGATTTTTCTGGGCATATTATACAATACGTTTAGATGCATTTACTTTGAATACATACGGCCCTAGGAGAGCCATTTGTGTAAAAATGAGTCTTAACCAGGAGTGCTTTGGCTGCTGGTGTCATTTTCTACTAGCTTCCCCCTTGCCTGTTTTTTGAGACAGGGTCTCACTCTGTCACCCAGGCTGGAGTACAGTGGTATAATCATAGCTCACTATAACCTCAAACTCCTGGGCTCAAGTGATCCTCCCACTTCAGCCTCCCAAGTAACTGGGACTACAGGTGTGCACCACCACACCCAGCTAACTGAAAACAAAATTTGTAGACATGAGAGTCTTGCTATTTTGCCTAGGCTGGACTTGAACTAGTGGCCTCAAGCAATCCTCCTTCCTTGGCCTCCCAAAATGCTGGGATTAGAGATGTGAACTGCCAGACCTGGCCTACTATCTTTTCTTTAGCCTGAGACTTTAGTGGACAAGAGGAACTTCATTGGTACATATTTTAAAGTTTCATAAAAATGTCAGTTAGTATTTTATAACTGTATTCTTCTATTAATAAAATCTTCAGAAAGTAAGCCAAAAAGGAGACAAAACGACAACAAAAAAAAAAAATAATAAAAATTGGCCCAGATTTCCTGCTTTCCTGTTGGGAAGCACGAGGTGAAAACCAATGGTTTTCCTCAAAAAAGAAAGAGGAGAAAAAAATAATCAGTCCCTCATAATCCTTGAAACATCTGGCCTTATGCACAAATTTGAGTCCTTGGTTTTACAAATGGATTTTCTGTCTCGAATGTTTATTTGTAAGTCAGTGGCATTTCTCATTTAATGTTATAAATACTGGTTGTTAACTCCTCTGCCCAGTAATGTGTTTGAATGTAGGGCAAATAGTACCAATCTAAATATACCTGAAGCCTATTTATACTTTTGCTGAAGGACAATTGTATTCCTGAGAGTCTTGGGGTAAGCAGAGGTCCTTTATGTATGGAGCTGCATTCCTGGGAACTGTGAGTCTTCTACTGATTTGGAAATAAAGATGTAAGTAGTACCTCTTTTTTTTTTTTTCGAGATGGGGTCTTGTTTTGTTGCCCACGTTGGGGTGCGGTGGTGCAATCATAGCTCGCCGCAGCCTTGAACTCCTGGGCTTAAGCAATCCTCCCACCTTAGCCTCTGCAGTTGCTGGGACTACTCCACCATGCCTGGCTAAATTTTTTAAATTTTTCGTAGAGCGGGGTCTTACTATGTAGCCCGGGCTGGTCTCAAACTTCTGGGCTCAAGTGATCCTCCTGCCTCAGCCTTCAAAAGTTCTTGGATTACAGATGTGAGCTACCATGCCTGGGTAGTACATTTAAAACTTAATCACCACAGTCTGAAAGAGATTTTGCTTTTTCTGAACATAGGTTAGCACCTCCATCAGTAAGGGCTCATGTGATGGAAAGAGAAACCTCTCTAGCTTCTTACACATTCTACAGGGAATTAGGTGCTTACAAAAATCTGCGAAGGGGACAGAGGAGGGGCTCTAGGAAAATCTTCCAGAACAGCCCCCTCTCCTGGGATCCTGGGGTGCTGCTCCTGTGCCCCAGTCAGGAAGGCTGGGAAGCTGGGTTGTGCTTCAGAGGTTTTACTTTTTTTTTTTCGAGACGGAGTCTCACTCTGTTACCCAAGCTGGAGTCCAGTGGTGTGATCTTGGCTCACTGCAGCCTCTGCCTCCCCGATTCAAGCGATTCTCCTTCTTCAGCTTCCTGAGTAGCTGGGACTACAGGCGAATGCCACAATGGCTGGCTAATTTTTTGGCATTTTTAGTAGAGATGGGGTTTCACTATGTTTCCCAACTGGTCTCGAACTCCTGGCCTCAAGCGATCCACCCGCCTTGGCCTCCCAAAGTGCTGGTATTACAGGCGTGAGCCAGGGCACCTGGCCTGCAGAGGTTTCACTTAGGAGCCTGCACTCTTGCTGAGGCCAGGGATCAGGAAGCCAGGCTCCTGCCACCCTCCCTGCTAGTGATTAGACACAGGGAAGCTAACCCTGCAGAAAAGCCCAGCACATCCTGCAGCAGGGAGACAGTCTTGTCTCTCTTTGCTTTCCAAATCTCTACCAAGAGCATCCACTTGGCAGAACCTGACTCCCACCCAGAAGCCTAGCTGTGAGGAAGTCTGGAAATGTCATTAAGAAGGGGGAAAAAATCCAACGTCTGGAGCACAAGATGGCACAGGGAAGAAGCAGGCACCGATTCTGAACGCCAGCTCCTATCTCCCCAGAGCCTCCGAGTCTAGTGGTTGCATACTGCATCTTGTCTATCACCCCAGTTCTAGGTACCAAGACAACTGCAAATACCCCGTGGTCCCTTTATGATGGCTCTAGTATCTTTCTTGCTTTTCTTTTCTTTTCTTCCTGTTTTTTTTTTTTTTTTTTTTTTTTGAAACAGAGTCTTACGCTTGTCACCCAGGCTGGAGTGCAATGGCACGATCTCGGCTCACTGAAACCTCTACCTCCTGGGTTTAAGCAATTTTCCTGCCTCAGCCTCCTGAGCATGTGGGATTACAACAGGCATGCGCCACCACGCCCAGCTAATTTTTGTATTTTTAGTAGAGACAGGGTTTCACAATGCTGGCCAGGCTTGTCCCAAACTTCTGACCTCAGGTGATCCGCCCACCTCAGCCTCCAAAAGTGCTGGGATTACAGGTGTGAGCCACCGAGCCTGGCCTTTCCCGCATTTCTGAACATGATAAGCAATGATAGGGATCATGGAATCCCAGGATGCTAGAACTCAAAAGAATTTGAAGGAACTGGCCCATTCCCACCATTTCTCAGGTAAGAAAGTGGAAAATTAGAGCAGGATGATGGAGCGCCAAAGATCGCTCAGCTAGTCTGGGTGATACTGGCTACCTTTGCAGAAGGGAGGAACAGGCTCTTTTAGCATCTGCCCTAAAGGAGGTACCTCCAGACCTGACAACAAAGGTGTGCTCTGGCACTAAAGGTCCTCTTGGGCCCTTGTGTGTAGTGTGGTAGGGGTACTTATGAGTCCAATATTCCTTCAGACCTTTAGTTTGATGATGTCACTTTTGTAAAATTTGGGAGACAGAGGAAGGAGGATCACTTGATCCCAGGAGTTCAAGAACAGCCTAGGAAACAAAGTGAGACCTCCTCTCTCCAAAAAAAAAAAAAAAAAAAAAAAAAAAAAAAATTGTTTTAATTAGCCAGACACAGTATCTTGCACCTGTGGTCCCAGTTACTTGGGAGGCTAAGGTGGGAGGATCCCTTGAGCCCAGGAGTTTAACGCTGCAGTAAGCTATGATTGCACCACTGCACTCTAGCATGGATGACAGAGTGTGATTCTGTCTCAAAAAAAAAAAAAAAAAAAAAAGAAATCCTCCTGGCCACCCTATCTAAAGTAACCCTCCTCCTCCCGGTTATGTGATATCACTCTATGGTCTTCCTAACAATCTCACTGTCTAAGATGCTCTTCATTGTTCACTTGTTTATTCAGCTTCTTGCAGTCTGCTTCCCTGACCTGTACTAAAACATCAGCTCCATGAGGGCAGGGCTTTTGCCTCACTCTCTGCCATATTCCCAACACCCAGAAAAAACGTTTGGCACAGAGTAGATGCTCAATAGCTTCAGCCAAAGTGGAAAATTATGCCTAACCTTGAAGAAATATTTCCTTCCAGTTAATCTGCACATGCCTCTGAGCTCAAGACCAGCCTGGGCAACACAGACAGACCCCATCTCTACAAAAATTACAAAAATTACCTGGGCATGGTGGTGCATGTCTGTGGTCCCAGCCACTCAGGAGGCTGAGGCGGGAGGATCACTTGAGCCTCGGAGATCGAGGTTTCACTGAGTGGAGATTGTGCCACTGCACTCGAGCCTGGGTGAGAGAGTGAGACTCTTCTAAAAAACAAATCTCTGCTACACTGGATTAATTAACAACCCAGCAAGTATTTCTTGAGTCCTCATTATGGGCCCAAAGTTTAAAAAGGTAACCAAAGACCCTCTTTAGTCTGAGCTCATCGCAGAGACGCTACTTCAGATAAGCAGGCAGCACATCTTGAGCCCTGAATTGACCTTGAGTTTTCCCACTTTGGGGTCTTTGCCGATGTCCCCCTTCTTCCTGGTCTGCCTTCCCCATTCCTTCTCGTCCTTCAAGTCACACCTGTGCTGTGACCTCCATAGATCTCTGTGATCTCTGGCAGGTAAGGCTCATTCTGTGCATTAACTGCTTGTACAGTTAGTGTCATGACAGGTTGCCACTTGTTGGAAATAACTGCTTTATACATTCAGGTTAGACCATGTATAGAAAAGATATCTAGCCAGATTCTAAACTGAGGTGGGGTCCACATTGCCTAAAATGCAGGCGGTCTGTCTCTAATGCTCAAAAACCATAACGTCCAGCACTGCTATCTAGGAATGTTTGCATAAACTTTTGACCTCTGAAAGTACACTATTCTTGGGTTCTGACATCAGTATTTAGTGTAAAGGTTTGTGTATGCAGTAACTCTCTAGAACCTTCTCCTTAAAAGTGGGCATCCCTCAGTCATTTAAAATAAACTCAAAAGAACCACGTGTTCATTCCTGTAATCCCGGCACTTTGGGAGGCCAAGGCAGGAGGATCCCTTGAGATCAGAGTTTGAGACCAGCCTAGGCAACATAGCGAGATGTGTCTCCATGAAAAATTTAAAAACTTAGCCAGATGTGGTGGTGTGTGCCTGTATTCCCAGCTACCCAGGAGGCTGAGGCAGGAGGATCGCTGGAGCCCAGGAGTTCAAGGCTGCAGTAAGCTATGATCGTACCACTGCACTCCAGCCTGGGTGACAGAGTGAAACCACAATTTTAAATAATAATAAACTCAAAACAGTGTATCTGAAAATATGACTTTGGTATCTTTTACACATCAAGGTCCTTTCTTCCCTACTGCCAACCTCATAAAGGGACCATCTTTTACTCCATCTCTATGGCTTCCTCAACATCTCAACAATGCCCTGCCCAAAGTTTACTGTCTTTTTCTTTTTTTTTTTTTTTTCTTGATGGAGTTTTGCTCTGTCTCCCAGGCTGCATTGCACTGGTGCGATTTTGGCTCACTGCAACCTCTGCCTCCTGGGTTCCAGCGATTCTCCCTCCTCGACCTCCCAAGTAGCTGGGATTACAGGCACGTGCCACCAGGGGCCTGGCTAATTTTTTGTATTTTTAGTAGAGACAGGGTTTCACCCTGTTGGCCAGGCTGATCTCAAACTCCTGAACTCAAGTCATCCACCCGGCTTGGCCTCCCAAAGTACTGGGATTACAGGTGTGAGCCACTGTGCCTGGTCCGAAGTTGACTTTCAGTAATGCCACTGACATACCTATTGGCTGGCATAAATAGACTTCATTGATAAGTAACAATTCAGACCAAATGTTAATTGTCACGTGGAAAAGTAGATGTTGGTACATATATGATCTTATTCATTCTACTCTATTTAAAGAAAAGTATTATATAACAGCAACATTTTGTGCAATTAAAGGTATTTTCTTTCAAATAAATATTTTTGATTCACCACTCTGTAAGTCATAGGCAATGCCTCCTTCACTCCATCTACCCAGCCCCTCCTCTCAAGAGTCTGACCTTCCCTGGGCTGAGGGTGTTGGCAGATCTATGGGAAGTGGTCCAGGGTATATTTCCCTGAAGACAATGGTTTGTCCTGGCAAGGATGATGGAAGAGAGGGACCTAGGGGAATGTAGTCTGAACACAGGTCCCTGAAAAAGAAGGGAATGGGGTATAAGTCAGATGGAAAAGCTCGGGTTCTCACTTTCCACTAACTAACAGCTGACTCTCAGGAACTCGATGGGAGAGCATCAAACAGGAGCATAAAAATGTATCATTCCTGGCCGGGCATGGTGGCTCACACCTGTAATCCCAGCATTTTGGGAGGCTGAGGTGGGCAGATCAGTTGAGGTCAGGAGTTTGAGACCAGCCTGACCAAAATGATGAAACCCTGTCTCTACTGAAAATACAAAAAATTTATCCAGATGTGGTGGCTCGTGCCTGTAGTCCCAGCTACTCTAGAGGCTGAGGCAGGAGAATTGTTTGAACCCAGGTGGCGGAGCTTGCAGTGAGCAGAGATTGCACCACTGCACTCCAGCCGGGGTGACAGAGTGAGACTCTGTCTCAAAAAAAAAAAAAAAAAGTACGATTTCTAAGCTATTATTCCTGATACTCCTGGGTGCCAAGAAGGAAGGCAATTGATGCCTCCTTGACTGCAGGAGGGTGGAAATCAGTAGTCTCTGAGCTCTTTTCCTGGGCTTGTGAAGGGGGAGCCCCAGGTAAGACCAGGGCTGAGAGAATAGCCAGGCTTTATTTTTTATTTTTTATTTTTTTATTTTTTTGAGACAGAGTCTCACTCTGTTGCCCAGGCTGGAGTGCAGTGGCATGATCCCGGCTCACTGCAAGCTCCGCCTCCTGGGTTCACGCCATTCTCCTGCCTCAGCCTCCCGAGTAGCTGGGACTACAGGCACCTGCCACCACGCCCGGCTAATTTTTTGTATTTTTAGTAGAGACGGGGTTTCACCGTGTTTGCCAGGATGGCCTCGATCTCCTGACCTCGTGATCCACCCGCACTGGCCTCCCAAAATGCTGGGATTACGGCGTGAGCCACCGCACCTGACCCAACTACAGGGTGTCTTAACTATGAACTTCCAAGCATTACCATTAACCTTTGCTCTCGAAACATTCACACCCATGCCACAAATACATTTATGGCCTAGCTTTTTTCCCCTAAAGTTTGCATAAGTATAAAATATTTTAAAATCTGGGAGAGATGGAAATAGTACTTGGAGAGGAGAAGTTATACATGAGTCACAAACAGGCAGAAATGGGGCTAGCCACCCAGGAGGGAGGATGGGAGAAACTAACTGGGTGAATTGAATTTCAAATCTGTCTTGGAAGTTCTGAAACAAATGTGCATACGTCAGAACAAACTGTTCAACTTCTACTCTATAGGGCAGCTGCAGTTGTGGTTTGGGTATGGTGTACATTTACTGTTTTGCTTGCACAGCATCCAATTCCTTTTGATTTGGTAATGGAACCCGTATTTCCCTAAAGGATCCACCTTCGCTTTCCTCCCAGCCCAGGTGGCTTAGGGCTGGCTCTAAGGGTGGGCATGTGATCCAGGTCTGGCCAATTAGCATGCACACCTCTGTCTCCAGGCACATTTTAGGCATGGGAGTATGACTCAGTCAAAGTCAGACTCAATTCCAGAGTCTTTTTTTTTTTTTGGAAACTCTTAAGAGGGAGGCAGGCTTTTCCAACTGGAATTGATGAGGAGAGGATAAAAGCTGGCCAGGTGCTGGCAGCCCTCTTGCCACCATGAGGTAAGAATATAAGCAATGGACTGCAAATAGAGGAAAGCAGGAGGAGGAGATGGTGAAAGGGAGATGAGCCCCTGAACCCAGCCAGGATCTGAAGCTAGTTCTCCCTTGGATGTTCATGTTGTGAGCCAATAAACAACTTTGTTTTTCCTTAAGCAATTTGGAATTGGGCTTTTCCTATTTACAACAGAATGTGGTCATGCAGTTGGAGAACAGAGGTGGGGGCGCCCACAGCTTGCTAGTTCTCGATGAGGCTTGCAGGATGAGGTGGCATCTACTGAACTTCCCATTGCCCACTGTGGCTGTTATCATTGCCACAGGCAAGGAGCATCTGCATTCATGCATAAAAGTGAAGATGCAGATAGATATTGAGTTATGATAAGAGAACAGCCAGGCGCCCTGGCTCATTCCTGTACTCCCAGCACTCTGGGAGGCTGAGGTGGGAGGATCGCTTGAACCCAGGAGTTTGAGACCAGCCTGGGCAACATAATGAGACCTCGTCTCTACAGAAAATAAACAAAATTAGCTGGGCATGATGGTACATGCCCGTAGACTCAGCTACTCAGGAGGCTGAGGTGAGAGGATCCCTCGAGTCCAGGAAGTTGAGGCTGTAGTTAGCTGAGATCATGTAGTAAAGAAGAACTTTCCAGAAGACTAGACTTTCTGTGAGGCACTTTGAGCATACTTCCCATGTAAATAAGCTCATGAAAGACACACAGCAGGAAAACCAGCAACTCCGAATGTGGTGGCCGCTCACTTCTTTCACTCTTACCGCCCACCAGGTGAAGAAAGTCCCAAAAGCCTAAAGATTCTTGTGCATTAGACTCTACATTTTTTTTTTTTGAGTCAGGGTCTCAGTCTGTCACCCAGGCTGGAGTGCAGTGCCACGATCACTGCTGTCAAGTGATCCTCCCGCCTCAGCCTCCCGAGTAGCTGGGACTACAGGTGTGCACCACCACGTCCAGCTAATTTTTGTATTTAAAAAAAAATAGAGACAGGCTTTCACCATGTTGCCTAGGCTGGTCTTGAACTCCTGGGCTCAAGTAATCCTCTGGCCTTGGCTTCCCAAATTCTTCTCGCCTAGAATTACAGGCGTGAACCACCACGCCCAGCCTGGAGTCTACATTTTTACATGGTGTAAAACTTAACCTGCCTAGCATAGTTTTCTCTTTTTGCTTCTCACACATACACACATCCGTCACAGACCCCGTCAGTGACCGATCTGCCCTTTCACTCCCATAGTGGGAACCTTAATGTTTTTTGCACCCGACTTCACGATACACTGCCACTTGTGAGCTGCCTTGTGAGTTACAGAAATGAGTCTTTATTTTGTGGGGTAAATCACAAAAGCCAGACCTAATATGGTAAATATTCTAGAATCCAGCCTTCGCTGAAAACTAAGTTTTCAACTATGAACGTTAATCCTGGCCAATAAAAATAGAGATCGCCATAGAGGAGTTAATTAAACATAATAAACAGGCAGAACAGGAAGCTGCTATTTTTCCTGTCTCCAAAGCTTCTATTACGGAGGAAGGAAGGGCTAATCTGTAAAGAACTAGGAACTTGAGAAGAATAGGAGGCTCGATAGCAAGGACTGAGTGTTTGGCAGAGAAGAAAAAGCAGAGTCACAGATTTAATCCCCAGTGGCAGGTGGTGGTGGTGGTGGGGGGTTTCAGCCCCCCACCTGGTGGGAGGGGAAGGGAATAGAAAATCATGTTTGTGCGGATCAGTTAGCTACAGAGTTTATCATGTGAAACGACAAAGTTTATGGTTACAACGTGACACCGAGATTTGTGGGTAGGTGTCCCCAGATAGCTTTTGGTGACTAGATCACACATTTCAAAGAGCTTTGAAGACTGAAAAAAATAAATGCAGGGAAGGATATTATATGGAGAAAGAAGATGGGTGGAGGGAGGAGAGGGGAATATGGATGAAGGATTAGAAAGTGAAGTCTTCTTAGTGTTGAAGTTGAGTGAAAGAACTCATTAAGAAACCAAAAAGAAAATGTGCTTCACTCCAATGATTTAAATAGTCCTGGGATTTGGATTTGCTTAAAAAGACTCAGTATAAGAGTGGACAGAAGCTGCAGTGGCTCAGGCCTGTAATCCCAGCAGTTTGAGAGGCTGAGGCAGGTGGATAGCTTGAGCCCAGGAGTTCAAAACCAACCTGGGCAACATAGCGAGACCACGTCTCTACAAAAAATACTAACATTAGCTGGGAGTGGTGGCACATGTCTGTGGTCCCAGCTACTCGGGAGGGTGAGGTGGGAGGATCTCTTAAGCCTGGGAAGATGAGGCTGCAGCAAGGTGAGCTGTGATTGTGCCACTTCACTCCAGCCTGGGTGACCAGAGCAAGACTGTCTCAAAATAGAAAAAGTGGACAGAAGATTTTGACATGATTTTACAAAGATCCAATGCCCTTCTCCCAGACACAGAATCTCACGAAGGTCAAGGCAGGCAAGACGAGCGTGAAACAAGAAGGGAATCATCTTTCCACAAGTCTGGAAAATTCCACACGTGGAATGACATTTGCAGGAAGACCAAGACTGCCCTGTGCTAAAAGTGAAGCTGCTGGGAGGCAGGAGCAGGGCACATCCTGCCTTCCCTGGGGACAGGCCTTGTGCCTCTCCTCCACAACCTGAAGATAGCTGCTCACATCTGCTCCATTCCTCCCCCACTGAGTGCACCATCTGTCCCTTTGACAGGAGAAGAGAAGCCAGAGAGGAAGGCAGAGAGGAACAGCCACAGACAGAGCCCCACAAGGGACTATGGGGTCCCGCTTCTGAGGAATAAACCGTGGGAAAATGCCTCATGCTAAGTTGGTCGATGTTAAGCGAGGGAAAGGGATAAAAACAAAATCTTTCCTGTAATTTTCAAACTTGTCTCTAAAGTAACCCTTTGTGCTGAGGTCCTGAGAGCTGGAAGGCAGGTAATTATAAAGACAAGGAGGCTTAAGGAAAATCTGAAGAGAGAGAAGGGCAGAATGAGATTTTACCACCATAACACATGGTGCATTTATCTATTGCTGCATCAGAAATTTGGAAAGAGACAAGGCACAGTGGCTCACGCCTGTAATCCCAGCACTATGGGAGGCTCAGGGGGAGGATCCCTTGAGCCCAAGAGTTTGAGACTGCAGCAAGCTATGATTGCACCACTGTATTCCAGCCTGGGCAACAGAATGAGATCCTATCTCTAAAAAAAAAGAGTAGAAAGATGCGTGTTAGCTGGTAAGAATCTGACAGGAACTGCACCCATTTAGGAGGAAAAAGAAATCTAGTGTTCTATGGTCGACCAAGAAGCAGCTACATTTATTCATAAAAGTAAAGATGCAGATAGATACTGAGTTATGATAAGAGAACGGCCAGGCACAGTGGCTCATTCCTGTAATCCCAGCAATTTGGGAGGCTGAGGCGGGAGGATCATTTGAACCCAGGGGTTTGAGGCCAGCCTAAGAAACATAATGAGACCTCATCTCTACAAAAAATAAACAACATTGGCTGGGCATGGTGGCATGTGCCTGTAGTCTCAGCTACTCGGGAGGCTGAGGCCAGAGGATCACTTGAGTCCAGGAGGTTGAGGCTGCAGCGAGCTGAGATGGCACCACTGCACTTGAGCCTGGGTTACCCAGTATCAGATACAGAGAGAGAATGAAAACAATAAAAGAAAAAATAAGAATATTTGAGAAAGTTTTACGGTTGCAGTAATTCAAATAACTACGTAAATAAAATTGAAATGAGAAAATTAAGTTTAAACCCTCCCCATCCAAAGCAGCATAGTAGCCAAAGTGGAACTGGTTGTACGTGAATTACTTATTTATTTATTTATTTATTTATTTATTTATTTATTTTGAGATGGAGTTTCTCTCTTGTCGCCCAGGCTGGAGTGCAGTGGCACAATCTCAGCTCACTGCAACCTCCGCCTCCCAGGTTCAAGCAATTCTCCTACCTCAGCCTTCGGAGTAACTGCGATGACAGGTGCCCACCATCATGCCTGGCTAATTTTTTTTTATATTTTTAGTAGAGATGGGGTTTCACCATGTTGGCCAGGCTGGTCTCAAACTCCTGACCTCAAGTGATCCACCTGCCTTGGCCTCCCCAAACTGCTGGGATTATAGGCGTGAGCCACCGCACCCGGCCTATGGAGAATTATTTTTCAAGGAGGTGATGACACTACCAAATTGGGTTGTTCTACTACTTCAAGAGGTTCTCTCTTCCCAGCTTCTTTGGGAGAACTGGAGCCAGAGGCCCTGCCTCCTTTGTATGACTTTTGCAAGCTTCCTTTCTCCTTCAGACTCAGTTTCCTCATTTCTGGAAAATGGGAAGCCAGGTGCCATAGCACATGGCTATAGTCCCAGCTACCCAGGAGGCTGAGACAGGAGGATCGTTTGAGCCTAGCAATTTAGGTCTACTGTGCACCATGATTGCACCGGTGAATAACCACTGCACTCCAGCCTGGGCAAAAGAGCAAGACCCCATTTCTTTAAAAATTTATTTATTTTTTGAGACAGAGTCTTGCTCTGTTGTTCAGGCTGGAGTGCAGTAGGGCCACCTCAGCTCACTGCAACCTCTGCCTCCCGGGTTCAAGTGATTCTCATGCCTCAGCCTCTGGAGTAGCTGGCATTATAGGCATGTGCCACTACGCCTGGCTAATTTTTTGTATTTTTAGTAGAGACAGGGTTTCACCAACGGAGTTGGTCAGGCTGGTCTTGAACTCCGGACCTCAGGTGATCCACCCGCCTCTGTCTCCCAAAGTGCTGGGATTTTAGGCGTGAGCCACAGCGCCTGGCCTCACAGATGTACTGTATATCTGCTTATGTACTATGTGTACATCTGCTTTATGCATAAAAACAGTATGATTTTTTGCTCCTCAGGAACCACTTTACCCCTCTTGGAGGTAATACTGTCCCCAAGAATTATGTTCTAAAGGGAGAATAGGAGTCTGTGTACAGAAACGTAGTCATCCTAAATCATCTCAAACTTATTTAGGTATCCTATTTCATTTCTTCTTTTGCCTGATTTATTTGATTCTTTGCAAGCACCTACTTGCCAAAACCTCAAAATAAATTCTCTGCAACAGTGCCAGGTGTGGCGGCTTACGCCTGTAATCCCAGCACTTTGGGAGGCCTAGGTGGGAGGATCGCTTGAGCTCAGGAGTTCAGCACAAGCCTGGGAAACATGGTTAGATCTCGTTTCTATAATACAACAACAACAACAACAAAAACTAAACAAACAAAAATTAGCCAGGTGTGGTGATGCATGCCTGTAGTTCCAGCTACTTGGGAGGCTGGAGTGGGAGGATCGCTTGAGCCTGGGAGGTCGAGGCTGTAGTGAGTCAAGATCAATTGTGCCACTGCACTCCAGCCTGGGTGACACAGCAAGACCCTGTCTCTATAGATAGATAGATAGATAGATAGATAGATAGATAGATAGATAGATAGATAGATTAGATAGATAGATAGATAGATAGATAGATAGATAGATAGATAGATAGATAAATTCTCTTCAACAACTCACTTCTTTTGAGAGGCTGAGGAGTATAACATGAGTCTGGTAGATTCACACTTCCTGCCCAGCCTTGCCCTTCTGAGTAGTTGTTAAGCCCTACAACACTCCCCAGTGCATTGTCTGTATTCTTATCTCCACCTCAGTCTGCCATCCAGAGAGTGCTGAATCCACAATGCAGGCCACCATGTGGAGCAGCCTGTCCAGAGGCAGACTTAATTTTTTTTTTTTTTTTTTTTTTTTGAGACAGAGTCTCACTCTGTTGCCCAGGCTGGAGTGCAGTGGTGCTATCTCGGCTCACTGCAAGCTCCGTCTCCTGGGTTCATGCCATTCTCCTGCCTCAGCCTCCTGAGTAGCTGGGACTACAGGCACCGCCACCACGCCTGGCTAATTTTTTGTATTTTTAGTAGAGACAGGGTTTTACCGTGTTAGCCAGGATGGTCTCCATCCCCTGACCTCATGATCTGCCCGCCTCGGCCTCCCAAAGTGCTGGGATTACAGGCGTGAGCCACCACGCCCAGCCCAGACTTTCTTGTTCTTTAGGCAAACCTCAGTTCTGCTCTTATGGCCTTTTAACCGAGTGAATCAGGCCCCCCATATTATCAAGGATAATATCCCTAAGTTAGAGTTAACTGATTATGGACTTATAATCCCATCTGCAAAATACCTTCACAGCAATACCTCGCTCAGTGATTGACTGAGTAACGGGACTGTAACCTGGCCAAACTGACCCCTGAAACTCACTATCCACCCTTTGTCAGCTTGACACCCATAAACATTTCCTTAAGCCATACTTAATCTCTAAACAAAAATAATGACAAGCTCATACTTCTGCCTCACATGATACAACCATCCTGCATAGAACCAAAAACATACGAACCCTTTCCCCGGAAGACAATGCCAAGTTCTTGAGTGATGTTCACTCTTCTGCTTTGATATCTTGCATCTTAAACACTATGATATAAAGTTAACTATTATTAATACACCTTATGTTAGATGATAAGAGAAGAGAGAAGGCAGAACATGAAATATTGGAATATAACCATATGCGGCTGGGCATGGTGGCTAATGCCTGTAATCTCAGCACATCGTGAGGCTGATGCAGGTTGATCACCTGAGGTCAGGAGTTTGAGACCAGCCTAGCCAATGTGGTGAAACCCTGTGTCTACTAAAACTACAAAATTAGTTGGGCATGGTGGCGCATGCCTGTAATCCCAGCTGAGGCAGGAGAATCGCTTGAACCTGGAAGGCGGAGGTTGCAGCAAGCTGAGGTCACGCCATTGTACTGCAGCCCGGGCGACAAGAGTGAAACTGTCTCAAAAAACAAAACCAAAAACAAACAAACAAAAAATATGCATGCCAAAATAAGGAATAAATGCTCATAACAATTATAGACATCATTTCTGCAACTGGTCATAGCTGATATTGATAGCTACCTTCTCCCACTACCCATTCCACGTTCCCTTTACTCTCAGCAAACACCTCAGCCGGTCATGGTTCTTTGCCTGGTAGAATAACCCAAGCCTTCATTTCTAAAAGGTCTGACCCATTAGCAGTCCTACCTGAATTGACTCGTTAAAATTTTCAATAGACTTTGATCACAGGATGTGTTGGCACTGAGACACACCCTAAGGGATCGCCTGTGTTCCAGACAGTCCCTTCCTTCCCTCTATTGTGTAACAGCAACCCTATTATCCTTGGAAATCAGAATGGATCACCCCAGCCAGAATAGTAACCCCCTTCTCTTCTGGATGATTCAGAGACATGAGAAACCCAAAGTGACCTGGTGGCAGTCTCAAATTCTAGTTGAGTGGAATCGTTGTTGTGTCACCTAGTGGAAGAATGGAACCCTGAAGTATAGGATATGAGCATCTGGATTGATGTCTCTGAAAATCTTGGGTCCCCATATGTCCCTGAACCCTCCGACTTCGCAGAAGTGGCCTGCTCCTCTCTAGCAAAGGCTGGTGTTTCTTCATGGAAACTGCACCAGAGAACTATGTTGCATGAGAGAGCCTGAAGGACACCCTACTCAACAAAACAGCAAGGAACGTAGTGCTGAGGGTGGTCTTGGCATTTCTGTGAAGCTCAGTGGTTGGCTGTCTTCTTAAAGATCACACTGATAGGAGACGCTGGTGAAGAATGGGATTCTCCAATAGAGATTATACAGGTCAAGTGGCAGCACGTAGCCATTGGGACGCAGGTAAGCACCTCATCTTTTTTTTTCTTTTTGAGACGGAGTCTCGATCTGTTCCCCAGGCTGGAGTTCAGTGGCACGATCTTGGCTCACTGCAACCTCGCCTCCTAGGTTCAAGTGATTCTCCCGCCTCAGCCTCCTGAGTAGCTGGGATTACAGGCACACGCCACCATGCCCTGCTAATTTTTGTATTTTTAGTAGAGATGGGGTTTCGCCATGTTGGACAGGCTGGTCTTGAACTCCTGACCTCAAGCAATCTGTCTGCCTCGGCCTCCCAAAGTGTTGGGATTACAGGCATGAGCCACCGTGCCTGGCCAGCACCTCATCTTAATGAGTGGTAAGAACAGAGTAGCAGCCAGGGTGGCCTAGTGCCATCCTCGTCCTGCAGTGAAAAACCAAGGTCCCAGAATTTGCCATGTGTCCTCCACTATGGCCCCTGCCTGTGAACAGGCTCAAACTCCTAAGTGCATTGTACCCCTGACATACAAAGTAGGGGTCTGTTTGCCACCAGTTAGTCTCCAGTATTAGAAGCAAGGGCGCACTTAATTTCTGCTTTCTTCTTTTTCTTCATCCTCTTCTTCTGCTTTTTTTGTGTGTGTGGTTCCTAACTTTTCTATTAACAGACCCAAAGCATAGAATTTTGTTCCAATTTGCTGAGAATAATGGCTTCCAGCTTCATCCATGTCCCTGCAAAGGACATGAACTCATTCTTTTTTATGGCCGCATAGTATTACATGGCGTATACATCCTCTTCTTCTAATAGCAATATTGATAATAAAAATAAACTGCTTTATCTTGATTATGAGATAAACTGTAATGATTTCAAGAACTAAAACACTTTTGCAGCAGGTCAGCAATGGCCAGAACAGTTTGGTTAAATTTTATTCATTAAAAAAAAATCATAATATATAAATACATTGGGAAAACTGACATTTGTTCTCCCAGGGAGAAATGATCAAGGCAGAATTTTGAGAAGTTCTCTGTGCATCTGGGGGAGGAGGAGAGAAGGGGAAAGGGACAGAATTGCCATGAAGCAATTTCTTTTTGCTGTGTCCAGGAAAGCCAGAAGAATGTGCCAAAAGACAATCTTCCTGAAGGACTAACTAACTCACTGGCTCTCCTCCCTCATGCTCTGCCTTTTCTTCTGTTCATAGTACAGTCTATTGCTCTCTGGTGCTTATAGTTCTGAGTTATTTCCAAGAATGAGGATGAAGAACTCAACTAATCATACAATTCTCTTCATTCTCTCCTGTTGGTTCTGAAATTAAGAATACACACAGGACTCAAATGGGATAAATTTGTAAGCTTTTCTTCTGTGTTTGGGCCTGTGGTCTGAGTGGGCTTCTTACTGTTTACTTCATACATTGAGCAAACTCGCTGGATCCCAGGCAGGGTTTGGGATGACTGCAGGCTGCTCCCACAGGGCAGGTCTACTCGGATGTGCATTCTGCACGGACAATGCAGGGGAAGAAGGTGGATTCATGCCCGGCTCTCCTCCCCCATGCTCTGCCTTTTCTTCTATTCATAGTACAGTCTATTGCTTTCTGGCTCTTATAATTGTCAGTTATTTCATGCAGCTTGAAGGGCAGCAGTGCCTAAGACAGAGCCAAAGAGATGTGCTGCTGACGAGCATAACTTTTAGTGAATTTACCAGTCCTGAAGAGAAACATGGAACAATGCTTTAGACTGTCATTGCCTCACCAAACATGTTTGCATGTTTGCAAATAGCATCAAACTTAGAGAAGAGCTAGTGGGTAGACTTTCTCTTTTTAAAAAAAATTTTTTTGAGACAGTCTCGCTCTTTCACCCAGGCTTGAGTGCAGTAGCACAATCTTGGTTCACTGCAAGTTCTACCTCCTGGGCTCAAACCACCCTCCTACCTAAGCCTCCCAGGGAGCTGGGACTACAGACACGTGCCACCATGCCAGGTTGGTCTCAAACTCGTGAGCTCAAGCATTCTTCATATTTAATGGTCCAAACAAATCAACCAACTTGAAATAAAATGAACGTCAACAAAATGGAAATGACCAAAAGAAAGATGCACATCCATACCATGGATTATTTTGTGCCTATTAAAACAATCTTTCTTAGGAACTTTTAATAACTTGAGAAAATGCTCGTGTTATAATTTTAATGTGATGAAAATAGGGCCACTTTACAATCTCCTACTGTGAGAGCTGGTTTCTGTGCCTTTGTCGCCTTCAAGTCCCAGACATTTTGACTATGTAATATTTTGACTATGTAAAAATGCTTAGAAAAGAATAGAAGGAAATATGAAAATAAGTTCATGTGGCTACCTCTTGATGGTGAGGATAAGTAATTTTTGGTTAGTTTATATTTACCCTCTATTTAGCAAAATTTCTGTAATGTTTGCATTAACGGCGAAATAAAATTTTGAGTTTCTAGATAAGTTTGGTTGACATATGTTTAAAAACAAAGCGGGCCAGACATGGTGGCCCGTGCTTATGATCCTAGCATTTTGGGAGGCTGAGGCGAGAGGCCAGGAGTTCAAGACCAGCCTGGGCAACATGGTGAGACCCCATCTCTACAAAACATAAAAAAATTAGCTGGGTATGGTGGCACATGCCTGTGGTCCCAGCAACTTGGGAGGCTGAGGCAGGAGTATCACGTGAACCCTGGAGGTTGAGGCTGCAGTGAGTTGTGATCGTGCCACTGTACTCCAGCCTGGAAGAAAGAGATAGAGCCTGTTGGAAAAAACCTATTAAAAATAAATAAATAAATAAATAAATAAAACCAAAGTGTTTCCACAGCTAATTCTTTTCACAAACTTGATGGTGATTTGGGATTCCATAATTAGGCTAATTATTTCTGATCGTTGACATTAAAATGCTGAGCTGACCTAAGATGTTCACGAAATTGATTCAAACAAACCAACCCAATTTTAAACGTAATCGGAGGGTATATAAACACCTCACAAACATTGATAATGATGTAAGAAAATTGACAGCTTTTTCTTTATAGTTCCTGTTGTTTAGGAGAAATTAAAGTTGCTTGGGAACAATGTTTACTTAACAGGTAATCAACGTAATGCAGATTAAAAAACAATGATTACCTTTGTTTACTTATCAACTTGTCATAGATTTAAAATAAAGACAGCCCTTTATGGGTGGGGCCTCAGCAAATACACACTTTTATTCCATGACCTCAGGCATAAAACTTAGGTCAACTTTTTGGGTAAGCAATTTGATATTACATATCAATATTTACAAAATAGAATCCTAACTGTATAAAAAATTAATATAGCAAAGTCTTTAAAAATACCTTCCAAAATTCTAGTAGAAACCATCTCTGAGAGGTAGCAGTTAAGATATTTTAATATTCTTTTTAATTAAAAAATTATTTTCATAGCAAAAAACTGGAATCAACCCAAGTGCCCAATGACAGGAGAATGGATGAATATCCACACAGTGGAATATCACAAAGTAGTCAAAATGAACTACTATAATGACATGTAACACTACGGCTACATTTTAGTAATATATTAAGAGAAAAACTAAGTTTAAAAAGATTGTGTTTAGTATGAATTCGTTTTTCACATTGAACATTAAAAAACAAGTAGATGTTTGTGTTAGAGTTCTCTAGAGAAAAAGAACTAATAAAATGTGTGTATAAATATAATAATATAAAATAACTTATATTTTATATAAATATAGAAAGATATTTATTACAAGGAATTAGCTCACATGATCATGAAGGCTGGCAAGATGATCATGAAGGCTGGCAAGTCCCAAATCTGCAGGGTTGGAGACTCAGGACAGCCAATGCTGTAGTTCAAGTTCAGTAGCAGGCTGCTGTAGAGCCAGGAAGAGCTCATGCTGTAGAGGAAGTCCAAAGGCTGTCTGCTGGAGAATTCCCTCTAGCTCAGAGGAGGCCCATCTTTTTGTTCTATTCAGGCCTTCAGCCAATTGGATGAGGTCCACCCACATTATGGAGGCAATCCGCTTTACTCAAAGTCCATCAGTTTAAATGTTAATCTCATCGAAAAACACCTTCACAAAAGCACCTGGAAAAACATTTCATCAAGTATCTGGGCACCCTGTGGCCTAGCCACGTTGACACATAAAACTAACCATCACAGTGTGTGTGTATAAATACATATATATGTACAGATGTATATATACACACATATGTGTGTGTGTGTGTGTGTGTGTGTGTGTAGCCAAATATATATATATGTAAAGGCAAAAAATACAAAGAAAAACAAAGTAATGATAGTTCCTGAATTAAGGATGATAGTCATCTCAGCTGAGAGGAGGCAGAAAAATGAGATGGGAGAGGACCACATAGGCTATGGTTGGGGTCCTGGCTCTTGCTTTGGGTGGTGTGTTCCCAAGTGATTATTACATTATTAAAAATTATACAATAGAGCCAGGCGCGGTGGCTCAGGCCTGTAATCCCAGCACTTTGGGAGGCCGAGGCGGGCAGATCACGAGGTCAGGAGATAGAAACCATCCTGGCTAACATGGTGGAACCCCGTCTCCACTAAATAATTAGCCAGGCGTGGTGGCAGGGGCCTGTAACCCCAGCTACTTGGGTGGCTGAGGCAGGAGAATCGCTTGAACCTGGGAGGCAAAGATTGCAGTGAGCCAAGATCGTGCCCCTGTACTCTAGCCTGGGTGACAGAATGAGACTATCTCAAAATAATAATAATAATAATAATAATAATAATAATAATAATAATAAAATAAATATAAGCAGGCCATGCTAGACCAATGATGAGCATGTCTGTCAGGAAGCAAGGATTAATCAAGCCCATTCTATGCAACTGAAGTCACTGATTTTTTCCTTTATATTTTTTCTACATTTCCTAAAATTTCTACAGTGAGCATGTATCTCTTGTAGTCAGAAGACACAGTAATATGTTGTTCTTTTAAAAATCCTGTGCTATATAGGGAATGTTCATCAGCTAATTATCTATAATTTGGTATTCGAGATTATGCACTTTGTTTTCTTGTTCATGAAAGTACAGCTGACACTTGATACTGGATCAGTTGAAACTTGACCCAGTGTGGAACGAGCAGTTGAGCTCGGTCTCTCTTGTCCTCTTGTTCCATTTCGCTAACATAATGACCCTCCCCAACCCACAAGCATCAACAAATGGGCTGTCACCAAGTACCCATCATTGTCATCAACTCATATGGAGCCCAATAAACTCATCATAAGTGTCCCTGTCAAGGCCTTTTGTGGAGACATGCCACTGAATTCCAAATCACTATCCTAGATCTGCTTATAATAGTTTACAGAGTGAGAGGAGAAAAAGATAGAAAGAGGCCCGGCGTGGTGGCTCACACCTGTAATCCCAGCACTTTGGGAAGTTGAGGTGGGCAGATCACGGGGTCAGGAGATTGAGACCATCCTGGCTAACATGGTCAAACCCCATCTCTACTAAAAATACAAAAAATTAGCTGGGTGTGGTAGCATGCACCTGTAGTCCCAGCTACTCAGGAGGAGGAGGCAGGAAAACCCGGGAGGCAGAGGTTGCAGTGAGCCAAGATCCTGCCACTGCACTCTAGCCTGGGTGACAGAGGAAGACTCAAACTCAAAAAAAAAAAAAATAGAAAGAAAAGTACAAAATCACTAGTCTAAAATAACAAAATCATAACCATGTAGTAAAAAATAATTTTTTTTCCCACTTCAGGTTTCCATGAAAAATATAAAAGAAATAGGGACAGAGTATGCCACCTGTTTTCCTTGGCTTCTCTCTTTTTAGCAAAAGTGAGTCTCTCTCTCTCTCTCTCTCTCTGTCACACACACACACATACACACACACACACACGAGTACACATTTAAAATGAGAAACATACTGAGGGGAGGATCAAGATGGAGGAATAGAAGCTTACACTGTCCATCCCTGCAGACCAACCACGCTGGAACACCAAATTTTGACAATTATCTGCACACAGAAAAGCACCATCTCAAGAACAAAAAATCAGGTGAGCAATCACAGTACCTGGTTTTAACTTCATATTGCTAAAAGAGGCATTGAGGAGGGCAGGAGAGGCAGTCTTGAATCACCAGTGCCCCCGCTCCCTCATCCCCTGGCAGTGGCCACACTGCACAGAGAATCTGTGTACTTTGGGGAGGGAGAGTGAAGCAATTGGAGGACTTTACAGTGAACCCAGTGCTGTCCTGACACAGTGGAGAATAAAGCCATGCTAGGCTCAGCCAGCACCTGCGCACAGAAGGAGCATTTGGACCAGCCCTAGCTAGAAGGGAATTGCCCATCCCAGTGATTGGAACTTGAGTTTCTCCGCAAGCTTTGCTGCCCTGGGCTGAAGTGCTCTGGGGTCCTAGGTAAACTTGAATGGCAGTCTACGATGCAAGGACTGCAATTCTTAGGCAACCCCTAGTGCTAGGCTAGGCCTAGAGCCAGTGAACTAGGGTAGTACATGTCCTAGGGAGACACCAGTTGGCATAGCTAAGGGAGTGCTTGTGCTATCCCTCCCCGATCCCCAGGCAGTACAGCTCACAGCAACTAAAGTGACCCCTTTCTTCTGCTTAAGGAGAGGAGAGTGAAGAGTGAAGAGGACTTTGCCTTGCATTTTGGATACCAGCTCAGCCACAGTAGGACCAGGGCACTGGCCAGAGTTGTGAGGCCCCCATTCTGGGCCCTAGCTCCCAGACAACATTTCCAGACACACCCTAGGCCAAAAAGGAACCAGTTGCCATGAAGGGAAGGACTCAGTCTTGGCAGCATTCATTATCTGCTGATGAATGAGACCTTGGGCCCTTAATAGCCAGCAGTGATACCCAGGCACTGCATCGAGGGCCTTGGTGAGCCTCTGAGACTTGCTGGCTTCAGGTGAGACCCAGCATATCACTAGCCATGATGGCTATGTTGAAAAACTCCTTCTGTTTGAGAAAAGCAGAGGCAAAAGTAAAGGGGACTTTGTCTTGCATCCTAGGTACCAGCTCAGCCACAGTGGAGTAGAGCAAGAAGCAGGCTCTTGAAGCTTGCTTCAGGCCTTCAAGGGCTTCAGGCCCAGACCAGGCCTAGGCTCTTGGACAGCATTTCTGCACGTCCCCTGGGCCAGAAGGGAGCCCCCTTCCCTGAAGAGTGAGTCCCAGGCCTGGCAGCATTCACCACAAGCTGATAGAAGAGCCCTTGGCTTTAAGTGAGCATTAACAGTGGCCTGGAAGAACCCCTTGTGGACTGGTGGTGGTGGTGGCTGCAGGAGAGGCTCCTCTGCCTGTGGAAGGGAGAGGAAAGTGCAGGAAGGACTTTGTACTGTGGCTTGAGTGCCAGCTTAGCCACAGCAGAATAGAACATCAGGTAAATTGCTAAGGTTTCTGACTGCAATCCCTGATATTGAAGTCCCTTCAAATATCTGGAAAGCCTTCCCAAGAAGGACAGGCACAAACAGGCTCAGACTGTGAAGACTACAATAAATACCTAAGTCTTCAATGCCCAGACACTGATGAACATCTAAAAACATCAACACCATACAAGAAAACAAGACCTCACCAAATGAACTAAACAAGGCACCAGGGACCAAACCTGGAAAAGCAGAGATATATGACCTTTCAGACAGAGAATTCAAAATAGCTGTTTTGAGAAAACTCAAAGAAAAACAAGATAAGAAAGAGAAGGAATTCAGAATTCTATCAGATAAAAGAGATTGAAATAAAGAATCAAGTAGCTATTCTAGAGTTCAAAAATGCATCAGAGTCTCTTAATAGCAGAATGGAGCAAGCAGACAAAAGAATTGGTTAGCTTGAAGACAGGTTATTTGAAAATACATAGTCAGGGGAGACAAAAGAAAAAAGAACAAAAACTTATGAGGCACACCTACAGGATCTAGAAAATAGCCTCAAAAGGGCAAATCTAAGAGTTATTGGCCTTAAAGAGGAGGTAAAGAAAGAGATAGGGGCAGAAATTTTATTCAAAGGGACAATAACAGAGAACTTCTCAAACCTAGAAAAAGATATCAGGATTCAAGTACAAGAAGGTTATAGAACACCAAGCAGATTTAACCCAAAGAAGACTACCTTAAGGCATTTAATAATCAAACTCCCAAAGGTCAAGGATAAAGAAAGGATCCTAAAAGCAGCACCAGAAAAGAAAAAATAACATACAATGGAGCTCCAATATGTCTGGCAGCAGACTTTTTGGTGAAAATCTTACAGGTCAGGACACAGTGGCATGACATATTTAAAGCGCTGAAGGAATAAACCTTTACCCTAGAATAGTATGTCTGGTGAAAATATCCTTTAAGCCTGAAGGAGAAATAAAGACCTTCCCAGACAAACAAAAGCTGAAGGATTTCATCAACACCAGGCCTTTCCTACCAGAAGTGCTAAAGGGATTTCTTCAGTCTGAAAGAAAATTAGTTAGACTGGATAAAGAAAAAGTACACAGACATACATAGACAGCATGGAATACTATGCAGCCATAAAAAAGAACAAGATCATGTCTTTTGCAGGAACATAGATGGAGCTGGAGGCCCTCATCCCTAGCAAGATAATGCAGGAATAGAAAACCAAATACTGCATGTTCTCACTTATAAGTAGGAGCTAAATGATGAGAACATATGGACACAAAGAGGAGAACAACAGACACTGGAGTCCACTTGAGAATAAAGGATGGGAGGAGAGAGAGGATCAGAAAAAGTAACTATTGGGTACTACACTTAGTACCTGGGTGATGAAATAATCTGTAAAAAAAACCCCTATGACACCAGTCTACCTATACAACAAACCTGCACATGTAACTGTGAACCTAAAATACAAGTTAAAAAAAGAAAATGATGTTAATGAGCAAAAAGAAATCACCTGAAGCTACAAAACTCACTGTAATAGTAAGCACACAGAAAAACACAGAATAGTATAATATTGTAATTGTGGTGTGTAAACTACTTATGACTTAAGTAGAAAGACTAAATGATGAACCAATAAAAAAAATACTACAACAACTTTTCAAGACACAGACAGTACAATAAGATATGATGAGAAACAACAAAGAGTTAAAAAGTGAAGAGACAAAGTATAGTTTTTTTAGATTTCTTTTTGCACGTTTGTTTATGCAATCAGTGTTAAGTTGTTATCAATTCAAAATATTGGGTTATAAGAAACTACTAGCAAGCCTCATGGTAACCTCAAACTGAAAAACGTACAATGGATACACACAAAATAAAAAGGAAGATATTAAAGCATACCACCAGAGAAAATCAGCTTCACTAAAAGGAAGACATGAAGAAAGGAAAGAAGGAAAAGGAGATTGCAAAACAACCAGAAAACAACAACAAAAAAGGCAGCAATAAGTTCCTGTTTATCATAATAACAATGAATGTAAATGGACTAACCTCTCCAATCAAAAGACACAGAGTAGCTGAATGGACAAAAAAGTAAGATCCAATGATCTGTTGCCTATGAGAAATACATTTCACCTTTGAAGATACACATAGACTGAAAATAAAGGGATGGAAAAAGATATTCCATGCCAATGGAAACCAAAAAAGTTCAGTAGTGGCTATACTAAGATAGACAAAACAGATTTCAAGGCAAAAACTGTAAGAAGAGACAAAGAAGGTCATCATGTAATGACAAAGGAGTCAATTCAGCAAGAGGATATAACAAATGTAAACACATATATACATAACACTGGAGCACCCAGGTGTATAAAGCACATATTATTAGAGCTAAAGAGAGAGATAGGCCCTGATACAATAATAACTGGAGACTTCAACACCCCACTTTCAGCATTCGACAGATCTCCCAGACAGAAAATCAACAAAGAAACATTGGGCTTAATCTGCACTGTAGAACAAATGGACCTAATAGATATTTACAGAATGTTTTATCCAATGGCGTCAGATTACACATTTTTCTCCTTAGCACATAGATCATTCTCAAGGATAGACCATACGTTAGGTTACAAAACAAGTCTTAAAACATTCAAAAAAATTGAAATAATATCAAGCATCTACTCTGACCAAAATGAGATAAAACTAGAAATCAATAACAAGAGGAGTTTTTGGAAACTATAAAAATGCATAGAAGTTAAACAATATGCCAATGAATGACTAGTGGGCCAATGAAGAGGTTAAGAAGAAAATTGAAAAATTTCTTGAAACAAATGATAATGGAAACACAACAGACCAAAACCTATGGGATAGGGCAAAATCAGTACTGAGAGGGAAATTTGTAGCTAGAAGTGCCTACAGCAAAAAAGAAGAAAAACTTCAAATAAATAACCTCATGCTGCATCTTAAAGAATTAGAAAAGCAAGAGGAAACCAAACTCAAAACTAATAGAAGATAAGAAATAGTAAAGATCAGAGCAGAAACAAATGAATTTGAAATGAAGAAAACAATACAAAACATCAATGAAATGAGTTGGTTTTTTGAAAAGATAAATAAAACTGACAAACCTTTAGCCAGACTAGGAAAAAAGAGACAAGACTCAAATAAATAAAATAAAAAATGAAAAAGGATATGCGACAACTAACACCACAGAAATTCAAAGGATCATTAGTGGTTAATATGAACAGCTATATGCCAATAAATTCAACAATCTAGAAGAAATGGATAAATTCCTAGTCACATACAACCTATTAAGATTGAACCATAAAGAAATCCAAACCCTGAACAGACCAATGATAAGTAACGAGATTGAAGCCATAATAAAAAGTATCCCAGTAAAGAAAAGGCCAGAACCTGATGGCTTCACTGCTGAATTTTTTTTGTTTGTTTTTCTTTTGAGACGCAGTCTCGCTCTATCGCCCAGGCTGGAGTGCAGTGGCGCGATCTCGGCTCACTGCAAGCTCCGCCTCCCAGGTTCATGCCATACTCCTGCCTCAGCCTCCCGAGTAGCTGGGACTACAGGTGCCTGATACCATGCCCCGCTAATTTTTTGTATTTTTAGTAGAGATGGGGTTTCACCGTGTTAGCCAGGATGGTCTCGATCTACTGACCTTGTGATCCACCTGCCTCGGCCTCCCAAAGTGCTGGGATTACAGGCGTGAGCCACCGTGCCCAGCCTCACTGCTGAATTTTACCAAACATTTAAAGAACTAATACCAATCCTACTCAAACTGTTATAAAAAAATACAGGAAGAGGGAATATTTCCAAACTCTTTCTACAAGGCCTGTATTACCCTAATACCAAAACCATACAAAGACACATAAAAAAAATACAGGTAAATATCTCTGATGAATATTAATGCAAAAATCCTTCACAAAATACTAGCAAACTGAATTCAACAATACATTGAAAAGATCGTTCTTGAGACCAAGTGGGATATATCGCTGGGATGCAAGAATGGTTCAACATACGCAAATCAATGTGATACATCATATCAGTGGAATGAAGGCCAAAACCATATGATCATTTCAACTGATGCCAAAAAAACATCTGACAAAGTTCAACATCTCATGATGATAAAACCCCTCAAAACACTGGGAAGAGAAGGAACATGCCTCAACGCAATAAAGGCCATATACAACAGACCCTTAGCTAGTATCATACTGAATGGGGGAGAACTGAAAGCCTTTCCTCTAATATCTGGAACAAGATAAGGATGCCCACATTCACCACTGTTACTCAACAGAGCTCTGGAAGTCCTAGCTAGAGCAATCAGACAAGAAAAAGAAACAAAGGGCATCCAAACTGGAAAAGAAGAAGTCAAATTATCCTTGTTTGTAGATGATATGACTATATGCTTGGAAAAAACTAAAGACTCCACCAGAAAACTATTAGAACTGAAAAACACTCAGTAGAGTTGCAGTATACAAAATCAACATTGAAAAACCAGTAGCATTTCTATATGCCAACAGTGAACAATGTGAAAAATTTAAAAAGTAATCCCATTTACACTACCCACAATACAATTAAGTATCTAGGAATTAACAAATGAAGTGAAAGATCTCTACAATGAAAACTACAAAACACCAATGAAAAAAATTGAAAAGGACACAAAAAATGGAAAGATATTCCATGTACATGAATTGGAAGAATGAATATTGTTAAAATGTGCATACTACCCAAAGCAATCTACAGATTCAATGTGATTCCTCTCAATATACCTATGACATTCTTCATAGAAATAGGAAAAACAATCCTAAAATTTATTTGGAACCACAAAAGACCCAGAATAGCCAAAGCTATCCTGAGCAAAAAGAACAAAACTCAAAGAATCACAATTACCTGACTTTGAATTATGCTACAGAGCTACAGTAACCAAAACAGCATAGTATTGACATAAAAACAGACACACAGACCAATGGAACAGAATAGAGAACCCAGAAACAAATCCATACACCTACAGTGAATTCATTTTTGACAAAGGTGCCAAGAACATACATTGGGGAAAAGACAGTTTCTTCAATAAACGGTGCTGGGAAAACTGAATATCCACATGCAGAAGAATGAAACTAGACCCCTACCTCTCACTGTACAAAAAAATAAAAAAAAATGGATTAAAGACTTAACTCTAAGACCTCAATCTATGAAACACCTATAAGAAAACGTTGGAAAAACCCTCTAGGCCATTGGCTTGGGCAAAAATTTCTTGAGTAATACACGACAAGTTCAGGCAACCAAAGTGAAAAATGAACAAATGGGATCACATCGAGTTAAAAAGCTCCGACACAGTGAAAGAAACAATCAGCAAAGTGAAGATACAACCCACAGAATGGGAGAAAATATTTGCAGACTACCCCTCTGACAAAGGATTAATAACCAGAATATATGGAGAGCTCAAACAATGACATAGAAAAGAATCTAATAATGCCATTAAAAATGGGTGAAAGATCTTAATAGATATTTCTCAAAAGAAGAGATCCAAATGGCAATCAGGCATATGAAAAGGTGCTCAACATCATTGATTATCAGAGAAATGCATGTCAAAACTACAATGAGATATCATCTCAACCCAGTTAAAATGGCTTTTATCCAAAAGTCAGGCAATAACAAATGCTGGTGAAGATATGGAGAAAAAGGAACTCTCATACACTATTGGTGGGAGTATAAATTAGTACAACCATTATGGAGAATAGTTTGGAGGTGCCTCAAAAAACTGAAAATACAGATACCATATGATGTAGCCATGCCACTGCCTACTGGGTATATACTGAAAAAAAAGTAAATCAGTGTATTGAAGAGATAGCTGCACTCCCATATTTGTTACAGCACTGCACACAATAGCAAAGATTTGCAAGCAATCTTAGTGTCCATCAACAGATGAATGGATAAAGAAAACATGGTGCATATACACAACGGAGTACTATTCAGCCATAAAAAAGATTGAGTTTTTGTCATCTGCAACAACATGGGTGGAACTGGAGGTGATCATGTTAAGTAAAATAAACCAGGTACCGAAAGACAAACATGACATGTTCCCACTTACTTGTGGGATCTAAAAGCAAAACAGTTGAACTCACGGAGATAGAGAATAGAGGGATGGTTACCAGAGGCTGGGAAGGGTAATGCAGGGTTGGGGATGAGGTGGGGATGGTTAATGGGTACAAAAAATATCTAGTTAGAAAGAATGAATAAGACCTGGTATTTGATAGCACAATGGGGGAGATATAGTCAATGATAATTGTACATTTAAAAATAACTAAGAGTGCTGGGTTGTTTGTAACACAAAGCATAAATGCTTGGGGGGTTAGATAACCCATTTTCCATGGTGTGATTATTACACTTATATGCTTGTACCAAAATATCTTATGCACCCCATAGATACATACACCTACTATGTACCCACAAAAATTAAAAAAAAGAAAGGCATGCTAATGATGTAATGTGATTTTTTAAATGCTGATTGTAAATGGATCACTGTGTGGATGTCAGAATTGTGGGGTCTCCAATAGACAGCCACTTACATGTAAAATGACAGTTGCCACCGGCAAGTCTAGAAATCAAGGAATTAAGAAAATCCACTCCAGTTGGGAGCCTAGTTGTCTCTGGTTTCTGTGTTTTCCCAGGATATCTAGGGTGGTCAATTTTGGCCAAAGGAGGCCTACCACAGTTCAGGCCACATGGAAGACCCAATCCATTCTAGTGAGGTAACCTGTTTTTAAAATAAAATCTCAGATTGTGGTTTCCTGAGTGTCAAAATGGGTTGAGGGTTCGGTCCTCCAGAGAGCAATTATACCTGCTTCTGCTGATGTCCTTTTAGCAGAAAATTCCTGGCTTGTGGTCTTCCAGAGTGAATCTATGGCCCAGGGCTTCCTGGGGACACAATGATGATGGGTGCGACTCTCACCGCTCGCAGTCACAGTCATTTCCCTGCTATTTCTCCCACGAGGACAGGGATTTTTCTCCTTGATGCTTTCTCTGAAGCTGCAGCCCTGTGTGCCCTGTAATCCGACTTCTGCCCTCACAAGCTCCTGGTTTTGCTGCTCATCTTCTCTGCTCTGGGTCACCTGGCATCAGTAGGTGCCCCAAGGTAACACTTGGCTTCTGTGTTCCACTTACCCTAAATGAACTTGTGTTCTGGCCTCAGAAAACTTACAACTTCACTATTTTTTAAGTTCATGTAGGCATGCATGTAAAAAGGGGTGATTTTTATATTTTATCTGGTACTTTTAGTGTGAAGGTTTCGGGCTATCTTATCTACACTGTATTTCCAAAAACTGAAGTCCTATTTCTTGGATTGTTTTTAAAAGTTCTGATGTTTGCACAATTATGGGAACCATGGACTTTTTAGCATACTGCCCTAAGAAATGGGGAAATAAATGAGGGAGGAAGCTGGGTTAGAAAGTGTCAGGCAAAGGGGGAAGTGAGGAAGAGCTGGTAGACTCACCCGGAGTCCCCAGGTGGTGAGGATGGCTGGGTGGAAGCCATGGATAGAGTGGCTGCGTGCATGTGTGTGTCTGCACGTGTGTGATGTAGGTGAATACTGATGTCTACAGCAGAAGAGTGGATGCTGGACGGCAGGCAGTGCTAGAGAGCCTGGCAATTGTTGCTGTTCTATACAAACAGCAACAAGGCTTGTTGAAATTGCTTGAGTGAAATGGCATCGGTGCTTAGGAGGCAGAAAGGTAGGATCTGCTATGACCTCAGATGATGACAAGGGCCAGGATGAAGCCACCTTAGAAGGAGATGTAGGAGAGTGCTTGGGAAGGAACAAGGCAGCAAGCTAGGAATGAGAGGCCAGGGAGTGGAAATGGTCCTGACATGGACATTAGAATGCATGGCTCCAAATCTTGGATCTGGGGCCAGTGAGCCCTCTGGGAAGCTGCTTGATCTCTTAGGATGACAACTTCCTCATCTGTCCAATGGAGGTTTAATCAAATATCTGTGGGGTCCCTTCCAGCTTCAATTTTACCAATCTGTCATTAGATATGAAAAGGACAAAGAAGAGGTGGCGGTAGTTGTTTTTTCAGTGTGTGAGAGGATGCCATTTCCATCTTATACTATTTATACATGTAGGCTTTGGGGGTATATGTGGGAAATGACATAGAATATGACAAAAAAAATCTTTTTTAGGTTCAAAAATCTTTTTTTTTTGAGATGGAGTCTTGCTGTATTGCCAGGCTGGAGTGCAGTGACGTGACCTCGGCTCACTGCAACCTCCGTCTCCCGGGTTCAAGCGATTCCCCTGCCTTAGCCTCCCAAGTAGCTAGGGCTACAGGCACCTGCCACCACGCCTGGCTAACTGTTTTGTATTTTTAGTAGAGACGGGGTTTCACCATCTTGGCCAGGCTGGTCTTGAACTCCTGACCTCATGATCCACCCACCTCGGCCTCCCAAAGTGCTGGGATTACAGGCGTGAGCCACCACGCCCAGCCAAAAATCAATTGTTAATAGTATTGTGCTCCCGAAGTGCATTAACTCGTCTGAATTGACTAATTTATGATTATGATTATTATTATTTGAGACAGGGTCTTGCTCTGTTGCCCAGGTGGGAGTGCAGTGGTGCGATCATGGCTCACCATAGCCTCGACCTCATGGGCTCAGGTGATTCTCCTGCCTCAGTCTCCTGAGTAGCTGGGACTACAGGGGTGCACCACCATGTCTGCCTAATTTTTTTTTTTTTTTGGTAGAGATAGAATCTCACTGGGTATCATAGTATCACTATGATACCCAGGCTGGTCTCAAACTCCTGGCCTCAGACAATCCTCCTACCTTGGCCTCTCAAAGTGAGCCTCTACGTCTGGTCTTCATTATTATTATTTACTCAATAAATATGCACAGAGGTTTGATTACGTGCCTCGCCCCATTCTAGCTGCTGAGGGTGAACCGTAAACAAGCCCTGGTTTCTAGTGGCGGGCACAGCCTTCACAGGCCATGTCAAATTGTTTAGCAATTATTCACATGATGTCCTCCCTCTCTGGCCTCCTTAGCTAGACTGAAAGCATCTTAAAATTAGGGGCCATGGTTTATACTTCTGACCATCACGTTCTGTGGACCGTGGTGTAAGATACTAGTGACTGTAAAAAATCAGGCTGGTGGAAATATATACATGATTTCATTTTTATCTCACAACTACTTGGTGAAGAAGGACAACTGTCAGCATCCCGGTCTTTACTTCCAGCCGTGAGGCAGAGATAAGGGGCAGGTTAGCATGAGATGAAGGACCTATGTCTTAACTCTTTGGACAGTGTGAGTTTTATGAGATTGGCCACCTTCAACTTGAGATGTCAACAAGCAACCTAGGCTATGGGGCAGTCTAGGATGGCGATTAAGAGCACAGGTTTTGGAGTCAAGACAGATCTGGGTTCAAGTTAATTCCTGAGCTGACCTCCTCATCTACAAAGTGCGGTTAATGGTGTCCCCCTCCGACGGTATTGTGAGGATTTGCACTACAACTGCCAAATGGTTAACAACTCAACAAAAGGGCTTACTATTATTTTTCCTATCTTGATGGAAATTCAGGAGTCAATGATGAGAATGAGAAGCACTGGGGGTAGAGTGGCAGCTGGATTCAAGATGATCATCACTTTGATTAGAAGTTCCCTTTGTCATTTTGCATTCTTGCCCTTTGCTCTGCATTCAGAAGTTAAACTGCTTTCTCTGATCTGGTCTATGATTTATCCACAATGCTAAAACTTGCAATGCTTGGATCCTATGTTGATGTATATACTAGGCACACAGACCAATGGAACGGAATATATAACCCAGAAATAAATCCATTTGGGGTTATCAGTTTACAGCCAACTGATCTTTGACAAAGTGAACAAAAACATAAAGTGGGGAAAGGAAGTTCTTTTCAACAAATGATGCTGGGATAATTGGCAAGCCACATATAGGAGAATGAAACTCTCACCTTATAAAAAATCAACTCAAGATGGATTAAAGGCTTAAACCTAAGACCTGAAACTATAAAAACTCTAGAAGATAACATTGGAAAAACCCTTCTAGACATTGGCTTATGCAAGGATTTCGTGACCAAAAACCCAGAAACAAATGCAATAAAAACAAAGATAAATCGCTGGGGCCTAATTAAACTAAAGAGCTTTTGCATGGCAAAAGGAATAGTCAGCAGAATGAACAGACAACCCAAGGAGTGGGAGAAAATCTTCACAATCTATACATCTGACAAAGGACTGATATCCAGAATCTACAACAAACTCAAACAAATCAGCATGGTTCTTGATATTCTTCTATTTGTGCTTCACATTTTTGTTGATCCCAGAATAACTGTTTTAAAGTTTCTGTTGGGCAGAGACATGGCGCATATACTTAGTTTACTTTGTGTGCTTATTGTTATTCCATCACTGGTATTGGGTTTTATTTATTTATTTATTTATTTTAGATTCAGGGTGTACATGTGTATGTTTGTCATATAGGTATACTGCATAATGCTGAGGTTTGGGCTTCTAGCATACCCATCACCCAAAAAGTGAATCTTGTACCCAACCGGTAATTTCTGTAACCCTCACCCTCTTCCTGACTTCTCCCATTTTGGAGTCCCCAGTGTCTGTTATTTATTTATTTATGTATTTAAGTTCTGTCAGGTGTGGTGGCTCATGCCTGTAATCCCAGCACTTTGGGAGGCTGTGGTGGGCAGATCACCTGAGGTCAGGAGTTTGAGACTAGCCTGACCAACATGGTGAAACCCCATCTCTACAAAAAATAAAAAAATTAGCTGGGCATGGTGGTGGGCGCCTGTAATTCCAGCTACTCAGGAGGCTGAGGCAGGAGAATCACTTGAACCTGGGAGGTGGAGGTTGCAGTGAGCCAAGATCACGCCACTGCACTCCAGCCTGGGCGACAGAGCGAGACTTCATCTCAAAAACAACAACAACAAAAAAACTTCTGTCTTTTCCTATACGAAATCTTAGGCTTGGTACATACCATTGGATTTAATGTAATTTAATTAAACAAATACATTTTGAAGGCCTACTAGGGTAAATCTTTGAGGACAAATAACATGACATCCCTGTTCTTAAGTCGTCTGGAGGACTGGTGATGTGGATTTAGATTTCCCTTTAGGCCCACCCAAACCCCTACTTCATTGGTAATTGGCAGAATTCTTGCTTAAACAAAGTTTAAAGAGTTTAGAATGCTATACACAGGATCACTAAGCTCTCCAGGTTTTACTTTGCCTTTTATAGGTGCAAAATCTTCCTCTTTCTTTTATCCCCTATTACTCTTGTGATGGCATAAAACACTTGAACAGCTAAGACCAGGTATTACTTGTCTCTTGGCTAGGTTTCTAACTGGAATTCCGCTCACGTGATTCTCTATAAAACAGAATATTTAACAGTTGCCTGGCTTCATGTTTTGATGAATAATCATTGAGATATATATATATTTCCCTGAAATGGAAAGTATCATTTATACTTTCTACTGGAATTGGCTGGTAGTTTCCATAGCTGCTCAAATTCTTGCTGATTACTCTTGAATAGATCCTTTTCTTTTGCCAGCTCTCCTTATGTAAACCGTCTTTATTTTCATTGGAGAGTCTATTATAAGTACAATTACCTGTTAATATTAGAATAATTTCTTATTCCAGCTGGCAGAGAACTAACTGCTGATTCTCTTGTTTTTGGCATCTAAGTGCTAAGGAAGTGTACACGCCCTGACCTAGAATTGTGGACTTCGTGTTTGGAAAACTGTAAAGCATTTAACATCTCTAGTGACTCATGAGAACGCTTCACACTCCTCAAAACATCATTTTCATTACAGGAATCTCCTGTTATTCCCTAAATTAGTTTTCTTCTTAAACCAATAATTTATAGGTTGTCTTCTTAAACCAATAAACTTACTTATTTCATTGAATCATTTAATTACAAAACATAATGTTGCCTCAATTTTGCTGTTGAATGATTCAATATTTACTTTAAACTCAATGTGAAATAAAAACAGCTATTTCGATATTTCGATTCACTCAAACAAGTGGCAATTTGTGAATTTTAAAAAAAGCAGATTAAATAACACAGCAAAAATATAAAATTGTTGTTTTGGCAATTTACACAACCATCCCTCCAAACCTGATTTCTTAAATTTTTCACTTTCCAAACAATATTGAATTGTTCTAAATGAGACAGTTAAAGCTAAGATAATAGCTTTGATTTTGTCAAAATGTATTGGAAATTCTCCACTCTTTCTTGGCTTTTAAGGAGAAAGGACTTAAGGGCAACTTGGGTTTACTAGTGGGTTTTTGCAGTACTGATGGAAGATGGGCATAGAGGATTGGAAGATGTCTAGAGAATTTTGAATTTAGATGTATAAGAAAGTGCATAGAGCCCACGTGTGGTGGCTCACGCCTGAAATCCCAGCACTGTGGGAAGCCAAGGCGGGAGGATCGCTTGAGGTCAGGAGTTCAAGACCACCCTGGCCAACACAGCGAAACCCCGTCTCTACTAAAAATACAAAAAAATTAGTTGGGCGTGGTGGCATGTGCCTGTAGTCCCAGCTACTCTGGAGGCTGAGGCACGAGAATCACTCAAGCCAAGATCATGCCACTGCACTCCAGCCTGGTGACAAAGCAAGACTCCATCTCAAACAAAAAAAAAAAAAAAAAAGAAGAAAAAAAAAAAAAAGAAAGTGCATAGACATTCAGAAGGGATAAAAAATCTCTTAGAAGAAGAGTTTCAAGGGGCTTTTCATTTTGTATTTTGAGGGAAGAAGGAAAAGACCAGGAGAAATTGTAAGCAGGTGCCATGAGAAGTGGGACTTTTGGGTAAGAAATGAATTAAGAGATTTTTAGAGGAAGACTTTTTGTGGTATAATGCAATTTCTCCTTTGCTGCCTCCTATTGGGATGTTTAGTAAACACTCATCTTACTTTTCTAATCTCTTCGAAGTTATATATGTTCCTTTTCTTTGTGCCACTCTGCTAAGACCAGCATCAAGGTGGCCTGGTTTAATTAGGTTTAATTTCAGATTTCTCATCATATTAGTTTGCTAGAGTTGTGTAAACAAAATGTGGCAGACTGGGTGACTTAAACAGCAGAAATTGATTTTCTCACATTTCTGGAGGCTGGAAGTCCAAGATCAAGGTGCCTACAGGGTTTGGGTCCTTTGAGGCCCCTCTCTCTGGCATGTCAAATGACAACCTTCTTTCTGCCTCTTCACAAGGTTACACATGCACCCCTGGTGTCTCTGAGTCCTTATCTCCTTTTCTTATAAGGACACCAGTCAGATTAGTCTAGGGCTCAGCCTAACAGCCTCATTTCAACTCAGTTATCTCTTTCAAGGCCCTATCCCCAACTAAGTCATGTTTTGAGGTAATGGGGATTAGGGCTCCAACATATGAATTGTGGGGGAACATAATTCAGTCCATAACGTGGTCCTCAGGCTGGGCGTGGTGGCTCAAGCCTGTAATCCCAGCACTTTGGGAGGCTGAGGCAGGCAGATCACCTGAGGTCAGGAGTTCGAGACCAGCCTGGCCAACATGGTGAAACCCCATCTCTATTAAAAATACAAAAATTAGCCGGGCATGGTGGCAAATGCCTGTAATCCCAGCTACTTGGGAGGCTGAGGCAGGAGAATCACTTGAACCCGGGAGGTGGAGGTTGCAGTAAGCTGAGATCGCACCATTACACTCCAGCTTGGGCAACAGAGCAGGACTCCATCCCCCACCAAAAAAAAAAAAAAGAAACATATAGTTCATACAAATCTAGGGGATTTACTAACCAATTCAGGAACAGGGATTACTAGAGTTAGAAGAAATCTTGGAGAACATCTAATCCACTCTCACTGTGTCGCTAAGAAGTATAAAGCAGTAAAAAGTCATGAATTGCCCAAGTTTACCAGCTACACTTCTGTTTTCCCCAGTGGGATTTTGAATACTTATTTTATTCTTCATAATTCAGCTCAGTCATTATTACTTTCTATAATTCCTTTTCTGACCAATTTGCTTAGTTTTTCTTTGTGCTCTCTCTCCAAACATGTTTTTTTTTTTTAAATCAAAATTTGAATATATTTGCTTTTGTGTAGGTTTTTCACAACCTGAAGAATTTTGGATAAAGTCTTCAGGAATTTCTAGACAACCTAAGGCATGCACTAAAAAACCTCACTGAGCTTTCCACTTGGGGATCAGGTAGAAAAAAATGCTCCTTAGTGTCTATATTACTTATTTAGGGAGAATGCTTATCTCATATAGGAGGAACTACTGTCTGCTCTTTTATCTGAGGGAGGAAGTGACTTATTTAATCAGTGAGACTGGAAAAAGGAACTAAGTAGGAATAACTTAACTCTTTCCCTTTGCCTCTGGCTTACCTGCCCAAAAGTGTATTGGTTTCTGCCTCAGTTTTCCATGAGGCAAGCACACACAGTCTACCTTGTAAATTATGGAATTGTTTCCTTCTTTCCTCACTCCTGTGGTCGAATATGTGTTAGGCAGCACTTTGGAGGAACAGTGCCTGCTCTGCAGATGAAAATTCTCCCTCGGGAAAGTTGTCCCAAGGTTTAGATTTCAGGTGGAATATTAGAAAGCTCTTTTTAACCCTTTTCCCATTTAGAAAAAAGTGCAGCTCACTGCCAGCACTGATTTTATTTTTATATTTTTATTATATATATATATATATATAATTTTTTTTTTTTTAAGACAGGATCTCACTCTATCGCCCAAGCTGGAGTGCAGTGGCACAATCTTGGCTCAGTGCAACCTCCATCTCCTGGATTCAAGCGATTCTCCTGTCTCAGCCTCCTGAGTAGCTAGGACTACAGATGCCTGCCACCACACCTGGCTAATTTTGTATTTTTAGTAGAGACAGGGTTTCACCATATTGGCCAGGCTGGTCTCGAACTCCTGAACTCAAGTGATCTGTCTGCCTTGTCCTACCAAAGTGCTGGGATTACAGGCATGAGTCACTGCACCCAGCCTCATTTGATTTTATATAAACACATTCTTTGAGGCTGAAGCCAATCTGACTGATTTTCAATGTGAAAACAAAATATAAAAACTGTTCTTGGGCCGGGCACAGTGGCGCATGCCTGTAATCCCAACACTTTGGGAGGCCGAGGCAGGCAGATCATGAGGTCAGGAGTTTGGGGCCAGCCTGGCCAACATGGTGAAACCTCGTCTCTACTAAAAATACAAAAATTAGCCAGGCGTGGTGGCGAGCACCTATAATCCCAGCTACTCAGGAGGCTGAGGCAGGAGAATCGCTTGAACCCGGGAGGCGGAGGTTGCAGTGAGCCAAGATGGCACCACTGCACTCTAGCCTGGGCAACAACAGCAAAACTCTGTCTCAAAAAAAAACAACCCCAAAACAAAAAACTGTTCTTGGAATTATTTCTAAACAGAACTAACATAAAAACTAACGAAAAAAAATTCAATTCTGAATCGTCAGATTGTCTATTTTAGAAAAATGGGATTCATTAAATGAATCCGTGACCAACAACTGTTCTAGAACAATGTTAACATCATGCATAGGAATGCTACACTTTCTAGGATTTGACATTTTCAGCGATCGAGAATTACTATGTTTCGTAAATGGAAATACCACTACTAAAGCCAGAATGCTATAAATAGAATGATGTCTTTTGTTTCCAAGATTGATATACTAGAGCTATGTGAAAATAATAATAAGTGTGATATTTCATGGCAGAGTTATCTTGGGATAAACGAGAGCCGCCGGAGAGTATTTTCAGGACAAATGGGAAATGGATTAGATATTTTTCTCAAACTCAGCCTTATCAGAAATGAAGTTATTATATTTTTTCTGTTCATTTTATTTTTACACAGTTTCATTTAAACACACTTTCTCAGGAATTTCTACAGATATTTAGCTTTCTTCATGTTCTCTTAGAGGAAAAGAAGCTATTTCAAGGCATCTGTGAAATCTATGAATACAATGGAACAGAACCTTATTGCATAGAAATTATGCTCATCGAAGGTAATATCTTCTTAAATTCTGGATTTCTTCCAGATTTCTACTCTGAAACATTTTGCTTTATTTCAGTGAAATTATAGTATTTTGGGTAACTTGTGAATCTTGACATTCTGGCAGGAATTTATCTTATCGAAGTGAAGAATTGTGTTAATCAAAGCAGCCAATAATAAGTAACCATAACAATGAATTTTCAAAGTAAGATTTATAATACACAGAGGTCATAGTTCAAATGAGACCAAAACATGTCCAAATTTGATTTTCATATACATATTTACAAACATGTTTGTAGTAAATGTTTTGGATTTTAATGGTCAGTTGAAGAAAAGCATATACTGTATTTGCTTCTACTCCTGGGAACTTTTCTGGGACTAAGATAAAATATCAGTCAGTTTTAACAGTGTGAGCCAGCTAACATTATTGAAATTATTATTTTAATCTCTATTTCTTTAGTTACATTCTCATTTTCCCCCTGCACTCATATGTGGGAAGAAATGTTTCATTAAATATACTCAAAGTCAGAACAATGTAAAAGGAAGCAAAATAAATTTCTATGTTTCTATTGAAAAAAGACATCAGACTCAAGAGGCATTATAATCCCCTATTAAGGTCAACACAAAGGAACAACATAATAAAAGGGACACATAATAAAACTGCTAAAGAAAACAGAAAGCCAGTAAGAAAGCCCTAAAAGCAGCCTGAGGATAATAAAACATATGACCCCCAAAGAAACAACAATAAGATTGACAGCTGACCTCAAAACAGAAACAATGAAAGCCAGAATTCAATGCAATGTTATTTTCCTAGTGACGAAAAAAATTAACTGGAAACCTAGAATTCTACAGTCAGTAAAAATATCCTTTAAAATTATTATAAAATAAAGATATTTTTAGAGAGAATGTATTACCAGCACATATGTACTAAAAGAAAAAAGACTAATAAAATGAATACACCTCTGGCAGGACAGATCAAGGAAAAGATGGAAGGAAGGAAGAGAGAAAAAGAGGTAAGGAGAAGGTACAACCAGGATCAAGAATAAAAAGGGAACATCACCGTAGATCTTACAGTTATTAAAAAATATGTTGACAGACCTTATGGACAGCTTTTTTTGCAATAAATTGGAAAAGTATGTAAATACCTCAAAAAAGATAGCTTACCCAAACTGACAGAATAAGTAGTAGAAAAAAAATAGTATTATGTATATCAACTACTTAGAATCTATCATTTAAAACCTTCCAACAGGCCAGGCGTGGTGGCTCACGCCAGTAATCCCAGCACTTTGGGAGGCCGAGATTGGCGGGTCACGAGGTCGGGAGATCCAGAACATCCTGGCTAACACGGTGAAACCCCATCTCTACTAAAAATACAAAAATATTAGCGGGGCGTGGTGGCAGCACCTGCGGTCCCAGCTACTTGGGAGGCTGAGGCAGGAGAATGGCATGAACCCGGGAGGTGGAGCTTGTAGTGAGCCAAGATCACGCCACTGCACTCCAGCCTGGGTGACAGAGTGAGACTCCATCTCAAATAAAAAAAAAAAAAAAACTTCCAACATAGAAAAATATATACCATATGGTTTTACTAATAAATTATTCCAAACATTTAAGAAAAAGGCAATACCAATCTTAAACAAACTCTACCAGAGGACAAAAAAGGGAATGTTTTTCAAGTTTTTAAATGAGTTTGGTATAACTTTAATACAAAGTCTGACAAGTACATTAGAAGAAAAGACAATTGTAGGCCTATACTTTTCATGAACAGAGAAGCAAAAATCCAAAACAATATTACAGCAAATTTAGTCCAATTATATAAAGAAGGATAATGAATCTTGACCAAGTGAGGTTTATTCCTAGAATGCAAAATTAGCTGAAAATTTTAAAATCAGCCTATGTAATCCACTAAATTAACTAATAAAGAAAACATGATAATCTTAATACATACAGAAAAATCATTTGATAAAATTTCTGATTAAAGAAAATCTCAGTAAAATAGGAGTAGAATGGGACTTTCTTAATCTGGTTACAGGCATCTACAAAAAACCCTACAGGTAACATTAGACTTAGTGGTGAAATCATGACTGTTTTCTCCTTGTAGGGGGATTTCTCCACTAACATTGTTTCTATCCAGCATTGTACTGGAGGTCATAGTCAATGCAATAAGGTCATAGTCAGTGCAATAAGGTATGTATAAGGCATAAAACAAGAAAAGTATAAAGATCATAAAGAAATTATCATCTTCACGTATTACATGGTTATATGTATAAAACAATCTAAAAGAATGTCACTGAGCACTCTTCATGCTATTCATCAAAGAGCATAAATGAATTTTTGATGAATTGCTCTTTGATGAATAGAGCAATTCATCAAAAATTCATTTTGTATAACAAAATTCATTTGTTATACAAATTATTGGACATAATATGTGAATTTAACAATTTTTTTTTTGAGATGAGATTTCATTGTCATCCAGGCTGGAGTGTAGTGGTGATATGGTTTGGCTGTGTCCCCACCCAAATCTCATCTTGAATTGTAGCTCCCATAATTCCCACGTGTTGTGGGAGGGACCTGGTGGGAGATAACTGAATAATGGGGGCAGTTTCCCCCATACTGTTCTCATTGTAGTAAATAAGTCTCACGAGATCTCACGGTTCTATAAGGGGAAACCCCTTTTGCTTGGCTCTCATTCTCTCTTGTCTGCCACCATGTAAGATGTACCTTTTGCCATGTTTGTGAGGCCTCCCCAGCCATGTGGAACTGTGAGTCTATTAAACCTCTTTTTCTTTACAAATTACCCAGTCTCAGGTGTGTCTTTATCCGCATTGTAAAATGGACTAATACAAGTGGTGTGATCACAGCTCACTGAAGCCTTGACCCCCCCGAGCTCAAGCGATCCTCCCACCTCAGCCTCTTGAGTAGCTGGGACTACAGGCACCCGATGCCATGCCCAGCTAAATTTTTTTTTTTTTTTTTTTGTAGAGACAGGGTTCCGCTATGCTGGTCAAGCTGGTTTTGAACTCCTGGGCTCAAGCTATCCTCCCACCTCAGCCTCCCAAAGTGTTAGGATTACAGGCCTGAACTACAGCACCTGACCCTAACGATTATTTAACATATAAATTTAACATGTAATTTACAACTCATAACTAATGAGTGACTTATTAAATATAGAAAAAACTCCTACAAATCAATAACAAAAATATGCATATATACACACAACCCGATAGAAAAAATGGGCTTGAGTAGGCACCTCAAACAAGAGCACGTCTACTAGGTCAGTGAAAATATCAATATGTGTTCATCTCATTAACCATCTCATTTTTAACCAGGTTAAAAAAATAAAACCACAGTGTGGTTTGACTGTATAGCTACCGGAATGGTCAAAATTAAAATGACAAATATGATATCATTTATCAAATGTTGGCAAAAGCATAAAGCAATTGTATCCCTTGTATGCTGTTGGTGGGATTGGAAATTCCGACAATCCCTTAGGCAAACCATCAGTATTCTCTGAAGATGAACATGTGCATTCTCTGTGACTAGGTGACTGTGACCTGGTTTTTCCTGAACAGTTTTGATTTAGGCATACTTTCTCAAAACGCTGTTCAGTTCAGTATTTGTCCTGGACTTCTTCATTTTTAAATAAAATTTTGTCATTAATGGTTGCATTAAAATAATCCAGGATAGGTTTGGTGGACTTTGAGTTGATTCTTCTAACTTTAACCATGATCTTGTTTAGTAGCATGGAACACACATGCAGTTTACATAGAGTTGGTACTTAACACATTGTTTTCTCTTAAAGGCAATCAGAGATAACATGTCTTTCTTTCCCTATCTCTCTGCTGATGCCGCATAACTAAAATTTCTCTTTGATGAATAGCATGAAGAGTGCTCACTGACAAAAAAAGAAAAAAAAATTCTGGGGCACAGAAGTGTAGGAATAACTTTCTTCTTCCAGCCTTGAATTATAGTGAAAGAAGTTCTTGAAATGCTGCCCCTGCTGGCCATTTGATGTAACAACAGTCAACTGTGCCATAGCCCTTAGGTGTTAGCCTGAAAGAAACTGGAAATCATTAAACTGCCAGTTGGCATAGACAGTAGGAAAGCTGAGAAACTAGAGGTTAGATGTACTTGAAATATGAGCAGAAAGTAGAGGCTGAGCCATCCTGTTAAAGAATAAATGAAGAGTAGTCGAAATGATTTTGCTATGGTGACTTTGTTATGTATTACACGATGTAAATCTACAACTGTTCATTTATTTATGTCATTATTTGGTAATACTTTTTTATTCCACAATAAATTCTCTTGGAAGCAATGAGCTCAAATGAGTGGAAATGCATATTTAATAAAAAATTAAGTACTATATTTCAGTTTCTGAAGGAAGTTGACGACGAATGTATTACAGTGGGTCCTGAAATAAGGCCATTTTGTTCATCATCATCGTAACATTGATGAGGAAACAAACTGGACTCCCAGCTGGGGCCATTGTCTGTGTAGAGTCTGCATGTTATCCCTATGTTTGTGTGGGTCTTCTCTAGATATTCTGATTTCCTCCCACATCCCAAAGAGGTGCACAATGGGGTCATTGGCTTGTCTATATGGTCCCAGTCCGAGTGAGTGTAGGTATTTGTTTGAGTCTGTCCTGAGACAGGTTGCCATCTTGCCCAGCAGTAGTTTCCACCTTGCATCCTGAGCTGCTGGGATAAGCTCGTACCACCTGTGACCCTAACCTGGAATACTGGAGTAAATAATCATCCTGCTTGGTTTTATTAATCTTTCTCAAATGTATGTATAGCTCACACTTATTTCAATGTTTAATATTAGCATTTTGGGGTCTTTGTTTAGAAGTTTGGTGATGTTTTTGTAACCAGAAATATGTCATAGGAACTTAACTCTTGTTCATATCAATTAGCCTATGGTCAAACTGGTTTCATTCCATGTTGTTTTGCTTAAAGTTGCTGTGTCCAAGAACTTATTGATGATGTTAAGTGATGATTTACTGTATTTTCACAACATATTTGTTGACTTCAACTATCCATCACAGGGCATAGTGGTATCACTGATCACACAACAACCTGAAGAAACAAATGGTCTGAAGAACTATTCTGTATATTAATATATTGAAGTGGTAGCCATCTTAGGAAGGACAGACACAAAAAGTCACAAAAGGGCAGTTTACATGGCACTCACAAAGCATGACTTTTCATGAAGATGAAATGTCCATTGCAAATTAGTTTTACTACCTTTGTCCTGGATGGAGTGCAGTGGCACTATCATGGTTCACTGCAGCCTCAACCTCCCCAACCTCCTTGGGCTCAGGTGATCCTCCCACCTCAGCCTCCCCAGTAGCTGAGACTACAGGCATGCGCTAATATTACCGACTAATTTTCCTATTTTTTGTAGGGACAGGGTCTCACGGTGTTGTCCAGGCTGCTCTCAAACTCCTGGTCTCAAGTCATCTGCCCACTTTAGCCCCCCCAAATGCTGAGATTACAGGCGTGAGCCACCGTACCTGGCCTTCACCCATTTTTAAACTTCAAATGTTCTTATGCAAGCACAAAAAGGGAAGTGATAGCTGTCAGGGAGTTGGCTTCATTAGCAGAACAGGAACTTTGCAAACAATTAAATGATGCTTGTTTTATAGCAATGTCATCAGTATCTCAAACAGAGAATGATTTTAATAATGGCTGAATTTTATCTCTAATTCACAGAATCAAAGTAAAGCTTTTAGAATTCATTCTATCAAAGGGAAATGATATGATATGATGATTAATGCTATTATAAATTCCTTCAAAATATTCAGCATCAAAGGTAGTATTTTCATAGTGATGACAGATACAAATTTTGATTGCATTGGGGTGAAAACAATATTCCTATTAAAAAGCCTATAGAGTAAAAATGTAGCTGGAATTGTTTGCAGTGTACACATGGTTTGTTAATGTGTCAAAAATGTGCTATTCTTTTATGCATGAAAGGAAACTATTGAGAGTGAAAAGACAAGCAACAGAATGGGTGAAAATATTTGTTAAGTCATACATCTGAAAAAGGATTAATATCCAGAAGATATAAATAACTCCTACAACTCAAGAACAACAACTAAATAACCCAATTCAAAAATGTGCAAAGGACTTGGGTAGGCATTTCTTCAAAGAAGATATCCAAATGACCATTAAGCACATGAAATATCAGTAGTTATCAGGGAAATCTAAATAACAGCCACGGTGAAGTGCCATTTAACACTCATTAGTATGGCTTTTTTTTATTATTATACCTTAAGTTCTGGGGTACACGTGCAGAACGTGCAGTTTTGTTACACAGGTATACACGTGCCATGGTGGTTTGCTGCATCCATCAACCCATCATCTACGTTAGGTATTTCTCCTAATGCTATCCCTCCACTAGCCCCCCACCCCCCAACATGCCCTGGTGTGTGATGTTCCCCTCCCAGTGTCCATGTGTTCTCATTGTTCAGCTCTCACTTATGAGTGAAAACATGCGGTGTTTGGTTTTCTGTTCTTGTATTAGTTTGCTGAGGATGATGGTTTCCAGCTTCATCCATGTCCCTGCAAAGGACATGAGCGCCTCCTTTTTTATGGCTGCATAGTATTCCACGGCATATATGTGCCACATTTTCTTTATCCAGTCTACCATTGATGGGCATTTGGGTTGGTTCCAAGTCTTTGCTCTTGTGAATAGTAGTATGGCTATTACTTTTAAAATGGAAAAGAATAAGTGTTAGCAAGGATGTGGAGAGATTAAAACCCTCATACGCTGCTGGTGGGACTGTAAAATGGTGCAGCCACTGTGGAAACCAGTATGTGGGTTCCTCAAAAAGTTAAACTTTTTGCTTAACTTTAAACAAAAGTTAAACATTACCCTATGATCCAGCCATTCTACTTCTAAGTATATACCCCCAAAAATTGAAAGCGGGAACTTAAACAGATACTTGTGTACAAATGTTCATAGTTGCTTATTTACAACTGCCAAAACATGGAAACCATATGATGTCCTTCGACAGATGAATTGGTAAACACAATGTGGTCTATCCATACGATGGAATATTATTGTCTTCAAAAGGAATGAAATTCAGATACATGCTACAAATTGGATGAATCTTGAAAACATTATGTTAAGTGAAAAAGCTGGATACAAAAACCACCAAATCTTGTTTGACCACGTTTATGAGGTATCTACAACAGGCAAATTTATAACCAATAGAATAGAGGTTACCAGGCACTGGTTGGAGGGGGAAATAGAGTTAGTGTTTAATGGGTACAGAATTTCTGTTTGGGAGGGTGACAAGTTCTGGAAGTAGATAGTAGTGATGGTTGAACAACACTATGAATGTACTTAACACCACTGAATTGGTATGGTTAAAATGGTATTTTTTTTGCTATGTATATTTTACTAGAATAAAGAAATGGTTTTCTACCAATCTAAATGGAAGATAAACTTGTCAAAATTTTACAGACATACGCATGATCTTTCTCTATTTGCTGTCCATCATGTTCAAGTTTTAGAAATGTTTGTGCATTTGAATAATTGTTAATGAACCTAAACTGTCCTGCAATACTATTAGACATTTTGGAAGATAATCTCTGAATTTTTGTTGCATTCTGTTCAGAATCTGTTGGAAATCTTAATGAAAAGGTTCAAAAATTGGTCACCAAAACCTGGAGCTTTTAAAAGCTTAGCAAATTGCAATTATTGAAAATCAGGCTCATTCCTGTAGCCCCAGCTACTTGGAAGGCTCAGGTGGAAGGATGGCTTGATCCCAGGAGTCCAGCCTGGGCAACATAGTGAGACCCTGCTATTGAAAAAAGAAAAACAAAATCAAGCTTGTACCCAGAAAGGCACTGAAATTCATCCCTGTAAAAACAGTGGGAGGGAGGGGAATTGAACAAATTCAAATGTTGAGTAAGACTTAATTTTGAAATTCTAAAATATTACTTTGGATACATTGACATGTTTGACAGAATTTTCTATTTTAACTGGATATGTTTGTATTTTATATCAGAAATAAATGGAATTGGCCAGGCGTGTTGGCTCATGCCTATAATCCCAGCACTGTGGGAGGCCAAGGTGGGTGGATCGCTTGAGTCTGGGAGTTTGAGATCAGCCTGAACAACATGGTGAAACCCCGTCTCTACTAAATATACAAAAATTAGTCGGGTGTGGTGGCACACGCTTGTGGTTCCAACTACACAGGAGACTGAGGTGGAAAGATCGCTTGAGCCCAGGAGGCAGAGGTTGCAATAAGCTGAGATCACGACTGCACACTCCAGCCTGGATGAGAGTGTAAGACCCTGTCAAGAAAAGCGGGGGAAGAGGGGAAGGGCAGAAGGAAAAAAAGGAAGGAAGGAATGGGAATTGAGAAGGCCTATAATTTTGTTGCAAATATATATGGCAAAATAAAAATTATAAATAGAGACAACTTATCTTCTGAGTTTTGCTTATAAAAGTATTTGTTGAGGAAAAGTACTCTGAACAGAGAAAAAAGAATCTGTAGGAAATACTGGGCATAAATATTTGTACGTTTCAATATGACAAAGACTAAAATTGAGATTATCCATCATTTCATAGATGTTGTTCTCAGTTTACAAGATACTGCAGCACCCACAGAGAGAGCAATTTCTGAATTAAAAATACATTCGATGGAGAAGTCAGTTGAAGGCATCAACAACCAAATTAGTAAGCATAAGATGCAACTTTGATAAAATTTTGCGAGTAATTTTACAAAAAATATTAATAAAACCATATTAAAAAATATATATCTTCAGAAAAAAATACTAGATGTGGCTAAAACTAATTTATATATGTGAATGTGTATTAAGAAGAATCATGGAGGTGGCAGTGAGCCAAGATCACGCTACTATACTCCAGAATGGGTGACAGAGCAAGACTCTGTCTTAAAAAAAAAAAAAAAGAGTCTTTTTTTTTTAAATCAGATTTTCAACATAAATAGTTTTTTAAATTTTTCTTTAATCTACATGGATTTAGGCTGTTTTAGTACTTTAGAAGGGATTTTAATTTTGAAAACTAGTTTTGAATCAAAATCTTTTCATAGGTCTACCGATGTATTAAATCAATTTGATGGCCAAAAAATAAATGTTAATTATTTTATAAATCATCTCTTTCTCTATTTTTCTTTTTGACAGAGTTTTGCTCTGTCTCCCAGGCTGGAGTGCAGTGGTGTGATCTCGGCTCACTGCAACCTTCACCACCCCGGTTCAAGCGATTCTCCTGCCTCAGCCTCCCGAGTAGCTGGGACTACATACAGGCCGCCCGCCACCACCGCCGGATAGTTTTTGTAGTTTTAGTAGAGATGGGCTTTCACCATATTGGCCAGGATGGTCTTGAACTCCTGACCTTGTGATCTGCCCGCCTCGGCCTCCCAAAGCACCCTTTCAAGAGTGTCCCAGTTTGGCTGACTTAAATATATGCTCACTTTAACTATGACCCAGCAATTCTATTTTAGCTGGGTATAGGCCCAGCTAAAATGACCACACGCAAGCAACAGAAGACGTGCCTAAGAATGTTCATAGGAGATTATTTCTAATAGCTGTAAACTGAAAACAAGCAAATAATCATCAAAAAAGACAATGGGTAAGGAGATTATGGTCTCACCTGTGGCTGCACATTAGAATCAGCTGGCAGGCTTCCTCCCTCAGCCTTGGAGACACACTGCTAACACTACACTTCGGAAGTTACTGTGTCCGGCATTAGTGGGTTCTTGGTCTCACTGACTTTAAGAATGAAGCCGCGGACCCTCGCGGTGAGTGTTACAGTTCTTAAAGGCGGCGTGTACGGAGTTTGTTCCTTCTGATGTTCGGATGTGTTCGGAGTTTCTTCCTTCTGGTGGGGTTCATGGTCTCGCTGGCTCAGGAGTGAAGCTGCGGACCTTCGCGGTGAGTGTTACAGCTCTTAAGGCGGCGCGTCTGGAGTTGTTCGTTCCTCCCGGTGGGTTCGTGGTCTCGCTGGCTTCAGGAGTGAAGCTGCAGACCTTCCCGGTGAGCGTGACAGCTCATAAAGGCAGTGTGGACCCAAAGAGTGAGCAGCAGCAAGATTTACTGCAAAGAGCGAAAGAACAAAGCTACCACAGTGTGGAAGGGGACCCGAGCGGGTTGCCATTACTGTCTGGGGCAGCCTGCTTTTATTCTCTTTTCTGGCCCCACTCACATCCTGCTGATTGGTCCATTTTACAGAGAGCCGATTGGTCCATTTTACAGACAGCCGAGTGGTCTGTTTTGACAGGGTGCTGATTAGTGCGTTTACAATCCCTGAGCTAGACACAAAGGTTCTCCACGTCCCCACTAGATTAGCTAGATACAGAGTGTGGACACAAAGGTTCTCCAAGTCCCCACCAGAGTAGTTAGATACAGAGTGCCGATTGGTGCATTCACAAACCCTGAGCTAGACACAGGGTGCTGATTGGTGTGTTTACAAACCTTGAGCTAGATACAGAGTGCCAATTGGTGTATGTATAATCCCTTAGCTAGACATAAAGGTTCTCCAAGTCCCCACCAGACTCAGGAGCCCAGCTGGCTTCACCCAGTGGATCCCTCACCGAGGGCGCAGGTGGAGCTGCCTGCCAGTCCCCACCCTGCGCCCGCACTCCTCAGCCCTTGGGTGGTCGAGGGGATGGGGCACCGTGGAGCAGGGGGCGTGCTCATCAGGGAGGCTCGGGTGGCGCAAGAGCCCATGGTGGGGGCGGGGGGAAGAGGGGGGAAGCTCAGGCATGGCGGGCTGCATGTCCCGAGCCCTGCCCTACTGGGAGGCAGCTAAGGCCCGGCGAGAAGTCGAGCACAGCAGCTGCTGGCCCAGGTGCTAAGACCCTCACTGCCCGGGGTTGGCGGGGCTGGCGGGCGGGCCGGCCGCTCCAAGTGCGGGGCCCACCGAGCCCACGCCCACCCGGAACTCGTGCTGGCCTGCAAGCACTACGTGCAGCCCCGGTTCCCGCGGGCGCCTCTCCCTCCACACCTCCCCGCAAGCTGAGGGAGCCGGCTCTGCCCTTGGCCAGCCCAGAAACGGGCTCCCACAGTGCAGCGGCGGGCTGAAGGGCTCCTCAAGCGCGGCCAGAGTGGGCGCCAAGGCCGAGGAGGCGCCCAGAGCGAGCGAGGGCTGTGAGGGCTGCCAGCATGCTGTCACCTCTCATTACTAGAACCCTGGAGCCCGCGCCTCTCCTCCTCAGTATCCTCTTCAGCAAAACCGCGCAGAGTGAAGCCAGACACAGCCTTACCCTGTCAATCATTTCTGTGGTTTCCCTTCTCTTCGCTGGTCCTTTTCGGATCCTGCTACTAGCGGTGCAGTTTTGCAATGAGACACACGGGCCAGGTCAGATTGCGCCTCAGCTCTTTGAGGGCTGGGAATAAGCTTTTATCATTCTAAGGCCCTTATTCTTTAGGAAGGTTTAGGGCAGACTTGCAAGGAATAACTTAAATTTTCCTCAAATGAGTGCAATTAATTCTCTTTGCGACTTTGAACCCTGCTGGCTCCTTCCCTCACAGATATTAGTAACAAAATCAGCAGCACCGCGTCTTTTTGTACCCTCCCCTAACAGAGCGGGAGGAAGTATTTCCAATCCCTGTTTAGGCCCAGCAAGGGAGGGACCAATGGGATTTTTTGTTTGTTTGTTTAAACAAACTACTAATCTTTTGCCAACTACTATAATTTTACTCAGAGAAAGATACTTTTAAAATATCCTTTGTCCTTCAACACAGACAGACCTTAAGAAGGTCTGGTGCTGCTTTCCCAGTCTTCATTTACCAAGGAACATTTTTGTTTACGTAATTCGAATCGTATAATTCGAAAACATCTTAGTGATTATTTAGTAGGCTAGTGCAAAAGTAATTGCAGTTTTTGCCTTTGAAAATAATGACAAAAACCGCAATCACTTCTGCACCAAACATATCATCCTTTTCGCAGATGGAAAAATTAACGTTTGGAAATGCAAAGTGATCTGCTGTTTCAGTACGCATTCCACTGTTAAGTTAGAACCAAGCAGTGTGCCCAAGCACTTGCAAAGATATTCTGGAGCCAATCAGTGCCATGGTCGGTGACTCCATGAGGAAATTGACATCTGTGGGCAACAGATGTCATTCCTGCATCTGTGGGAGTAGTGACGCCATGTTGAAATTGACAATGGTTAGGCTATTCACACCACAGAAACAGACAAATGCTACAAACTCGGGTTCTCTCTCCCTGAAAGCGACTTGCTAAGCATCCACACCATTTTGAAGTAAAGACATTTTAAGAGTGCCTCTCTGAGTCAAATTATAATAGTGTGGCAGTTTGTAAAAGTTTAGTAGTTTGTTAAAAAAAAACTCATGAATTGAAATACAGCTTTTACATTATTGCTATGTTACACGTTCCACTTTAATATTTTAATTAGTGTTAAGGAATAAAGTAAATAAGTTAATTATAAAAGTTCTTTCGAGGCTTATATTGTGCTTATGTTTTATGCTTTACTTCAGCCTACTTTTTCCAGACTTCAGGACATTTCCAAGTTTCTGTGTAGAATTAGTTAAGGTTCAGTAGATGGCGCTACTACACTGTTTTTAGTCATTTCAGAATTGTTGCTCTCTGGGATACTAATGGGAAACTTAACAGATACAGAACAGGAGTGGGGAGGGAAACCCAGTCTCTTAACAGTTCTAGGCTGGTTACAACTAGAACTCTAAGTCTCAGTTTTTTTCCAACTCTAACATTCTGTGCCTGTAGTATAGAGATACATTGTGAAAGCATCTGTCGATGGACATTTACGTTTGACATCTGTCATCTGAGCATCTGAAGGTGCTCTGCCAATATATTCTCTCCAGGTCTTGTAGTTTAGATGGGTAGATGAATCCTCCCACAAATCCTCCACTGCTCTTTTTACACACAAAGTAATAAAGTCCAGAGAGGTCCTGTTTCTCTGCAAATTGAGTTTTTACACCCGGAAAGCTGCCTTTCGATGAAAAACAACAACAACTGATGTTATAAGAAAGATAAACTCTTTTTGATGAGTGAGCATGTGACAAGCTGACTGGCTGCTGTCTCTTTCTTGCTACTCCTTGGCCCGTCACTGAAGCTGGCTAGTAGTCATCATCTTGTTCATTTTTTTTTCTCTTATTTTGTTTGTTATGAAATATTTGAGGAGTACAAAATAGGGTAGAAAAAACATAACAAATATATATGCACTTACCATTGAGCTTAAGAAAGAAAAAATGGTGCATATATTGTAACACCCCGTGGATTAGTATCATGTACATTCCCTGTCCTTCCTCCCTAGTAGAGTTTGCTTTTTTCCATTTGTGTCTTTGTTATCTATCATACTTAATTTGTCTTTTTTGCAACTACTTTTCTTCATTCAACACTGTGTTTTGGGAAATTACCCATGTTAATATTTATTTTATTCATGTTTATATTTGCACAGTATTCCACTGAGTGAGCGTTTTGCACTTCATTTAAGCTATTCTTCCATTGATATATATTTATATTGCATCCAATTTTCCATTATTACATACAACATGCATTCTTGTTTATGTAAGATATTCCTGTAAACCTATATACTTTATGTACCCTAAATATCTCATAATAACAAAACATAAAAATAACATTTATAGGCCGGGCGCGGTGGCTCACGCCTGTAATCCCAGCACTTTGGGAGGCCGAGGCGGGCGGATCACGAGGTCAGGAGATCGAGACCATCCCGGCTAAAACGGTGAAACCCCGTCTCTACTAAAAATACAAAAAATTAGCCGGGCGTAGTGGCGGGCGCCTGTAGTCCCAGCTACTTGGGAGGCTGAGGCAGGAGAATGGCGTGAACCCGGGAGGCGGAGCTTGCAGTGAGCCGAGATCCCGCCACTGCACTCCAGCCTGGGCGACAGAGCGAGACTCCGTCTCAAAAAAAAAAAAAAAAAAAAAAAAAAAATAACATTTATAGTCCTTGCAGACAGTTTATCATCACGTTGCCTCATTAAATGTAGTTTGCGTTATTTTTATTGTTGTTTTTGTTTGTTTGTTTTTGAGATAGGGTCTCCCTCTGTCACCCAGGCTGGAATGCAGTGGTGCAATGTTGACTAACTGCAATCTCCGCCTCCCGAGTTCAAGCGATTCTCCCACCTCAGCCTCCTGAGTAGCTGGGATTACAGGTGCCTGCTACCATGCCCACAGCCCGGCTATTTTTTGTATTTTTAGTAGAGATGGGGTTTCACCATATTGGCCAGGCTGGTGTCGAACTCCTGACCTCAGTTGATCCACCTGCCTCAGCCTCCCAAAGTGCTGGGATTACAGGTGTGAGCCACCGCCCCTGGCCTGTAGCTTGTTTTCTTTCTTTCTTTCTTTCTTTCTTTCTTTCTTTCTTTCTTTCTTTCTTTCTTTCTTTCTTTCTTTCTTTCTCTCTCTCTCTCTCTCTCTCTCTTTCTTTCTTTCTTTCTTTCTTTTCTTTCCTTTCTTTCTTTTCTTTCTTTCTTTTTGAGGCAGAGTCTCGCTCTGTTGCCCAGGCTGGAGTGCAGTGGCGCCATCTCGGCTCACTGCAAGCTCCGCCTCCCGGGTTGGCGCCATTCTCCAGCCTCAGCCTCCCGAGTAGCTGGGACTACAGGCACCTGCCACCACACCCGGCTAATTTTTTGTATTTTTATTAGAGACGGGGTTTCACTGTGTTAGCCAGGATGTTCTCGATCTCCTGACCTCGTGATCCACCCACCTTGGCCTCCCAAAGTGCTGGGATTACAGGCGTGAGCCACCGCACCCGGCCGCTTGTGTTATTTCTTATAGGAATCAATTATTTTAAAATATTAGAAGGCAATAGACTGGAAGCTTAAAAAGCCATTTGATGGTAATTCAGCCTCTTAGAGCTTCAGTCTTCTAAAACCCTGTAAGTCGGGGCCAGGCGCGGTGGCTCACGCCTGTACTTCCAACAATTTGGGAGGTCCAGGAAGGTGGATCACTTGAGGTCAGGAGTTTGAGATCAGCCTGGCCAACATGGTAAAACCCCTTCTCTGCTAAAAATACAAAAATTAGCCAGGGGTGGTGGTGCACACCTGTAATCCCAGCTACTCGAGAGGCTGAAGCAGGAGAATTGCTTGAACTCAGGAGGTGGAGTTTGCAGTGAGTCAAGATCGTGCCACTGCACTCCAGTCTGGCTGACACAGTGAGACTCTGTTTCAGTAAATACATAAGTAATAAATAAATAAGACTTAGAAGTGGAATGGCAGCATTACGCATTCACATATTCTACTTCAAAATGCCAAATAGCTCTTTGAAGTAGTGGCAACAACCTCTACTCCTACTCCTACCTGTGGTGTTTGAGAGCTCCAGGTGTTCATCATCCTCCCCAAACCCCTGCTTTTAAACACTTTGATATTGAAAATTTTGAATATATACAAAAATAGGGAGATTAATGAACCTTTAAGGTCCTGTCATTCGATTTTAATAGTTACTAATTCACAGCCAGTCTTGAATCATATATACCGATCACACTCCTGCAGGTTATTTGAAGCAAATTTCAGTTCCAGGATAACACTCTGAAAGATAAGAACTCTTCATTTTTTATTTTTATTTTTTGAGACAAGGTTTCACTCTGTCACCCAGGCTGCTGTGCAGTGGTGTGATCACACCTCACTGCAACCTCAACCTCTCAGGCTCCAGCGATCCTCCCACTTCAGCCTCCTGAGTAGTTGGGGCTATAGGCACGTGCCACCATACCCAGCTAATTTTTAAAATTTTTGTAGAGATAGGGTCTCACTACGTTGCTCAGGTTGGTCTGAAACTCCTGAGCTCAAATGATCCTCCCTCACCCTCCCAAAAGTGGTGGGATTATAGGCATGAGCTACTGCACCCAGCGAGGACTCCTTATTTTAAACATAACCAAAACACCATGATTACACTGAAAAAATAATCATCAATCTTTCCTTGTTGAAATAAAATAACCAGCCACGGTTCAAATTTCACAACTGTCTCATAACATTTTATGGTTGGCTTGACTCACATCCAAAATAAGATCCATAAATCACAATTGTTGATATGTTTCTTCAATATATTTCAATTGGTGGGTTCCCTCCCCATCTCTCTTTTTTTTTGGTTGGTATTTATTTATTGAAAAATAAAAACAGGATTGTTTGTTCTATAGAGCGGAGGTCCCAAACCCCAGGCCACAGACTGGTACTAGTCCATGGCCTGTTAAGAACTGGGCTGGCACAGCAGGAGGTGAGTGGCGGGGGAGTGAGCAAAGCCTCCTCTGTATTTACAGCTGCTCCCCATTGCTCACATTACTGCCTGAACTCTGCCTCCTGTCAGATCAGTGTGGCATTAGATCTAATAGGAGCGGGAACCCTGTTGTCAACTGTGTGTGTGATGCATCTACGTTGCGTGCTCCTTATGAGAATCTAATGCTTGATGATCTGTCACTGTCTCCCGTCACCCCAAAATGGGACCATCTAGTTGTAGGAAAACAAGCTCAGGGCTCCCATTGATTCTACATTATGGTGAGTTTTATAATTATTTCACCATCACCTGAGGTCAGGAGTTCAAGACCAGCCTGGCCAATATAGTGAAACCCCATCTCTACTAAAAATACAAAAATTAGCCTGGCGTTCTGGTGCGGGCCTGTAATCCCAGCTACTCGGGAGGCTGAGGCAGGAGAATTGCTTGAACCAGAAGGCGGAGGTTGCAGTGAACCGAGATGACACCACTGCCCTCCAGCCTGGGCGACAGAGCGAGACTCCGTCTCAAAAAAAGAAAAAAAAAATTATTATACATTACAGTGTAATAATAGAAATAAAGGGCACAATAAATGTAATGCACTTGACTCGTCCCAAAACCATTCCTCCCAGCCCCGCTCCAACCGCCCACCGGTCTGTGGAAAAATTATCTTCCATGAAACTGGTCTCTGGTGCCAAAAAGGTTGGGGACCGCTGCTGCAGAGGTTCTCACAGCATGGATCTTAGTGAGTACATGGTGTGGAACATGCTCCTCTCTCTCTGTGTGTTCTGAAAACTGGTGTCAGAGTTCGATCAGATTTATGTTCAGTTTTTTTTTGATCCCATAGTTTGCAAAGTGCTCTTGTACCTCCTTTCAGAACGTGTTTCCAGGCAAGGAATTTGGAATTCCCTGCAAGGACAAAGGTCATGTTTTCAAACAATGAGAGGCAACATTCCCAGTTATACATATACATGTTCTAGGTAATTTTTCACTTCTTTCTTTTCCTACATTTGATGACAATCTTGGGAAGTGGGGGGAGTTGTCAGATTGAAACATTTACAGCATCAAAATAATAATTTCTAAGCCAAAGCCAACTTCCCGTGCACTCTGGATCCTGCTCCTTCTCCAATGGTAATCTAATTTTACCTTTGATTCCATCCAGTATATACGGGATTGGAGTCCAGGAAACTGAAAAATTATCTTTTGTATTATCTTTTATCGTTCTCTTTAATTAATAAAAAATAAACCAGACATCCTTCCAAGTTTCCAGGCTATTTGGCTGGGTTAAGAGAAGGCAGAATAAATACAGTGAAAGCTAGTTGCTCAAAAAAACAAGAAACAAAACTCAAACCCAGAAAGAAGTTATATAGTATTTTCTCACTCCATTCTTGGTTAAAATTCAGTCTCAGCGAACAATTTGTTACAAAAAAAATTGAAGTCTGTAATATTGTTGAAGTTTATCTCATTTTTTTCTTTAAATTTATCTATCTCCCTTTTTTCTTTAAATTTCTCCCTTAAATTCTGGATTGAGAATTGACAATTGATTTGAGAAATGGAAGAAACATAAAGGAGAAAAGGGAGCCTTCTGGTTTAATGTGACGTAAAGTTCATAAAGCTGGAATGAAACTGTGCTTTTCATGCTTGGTTTAGGTGCCTAAGACATTTCAAATGATGGCTACAAATATACATAGAATAGGGGGAAATTTCTCTATTCTTTCCTAAGCCTTGGGTTGGTTTCTGGGGAATATTAACACACACAGACTACAGACTCCCTTTACAAAGCTGGGCATTTTCACACATGCAAATACAGTTTTGGGGGCTGGTGAGCATTATTTGAGTGGTTGCTTGGTATCGTTTTTTAAAAAAATAATCATTTTCAATTATCTTTATTTATCTGTTTTAATTTTTTAGAGACAGGGCCTTCCTCTGTCTCCCAGGCCAGAGTCCAGTGGTGCAATCATAGTTCACCACAGCCTCCAACTCCTGGACTCAAGTGATCCTCCTGCCTCAGCCTCCCGAGTAGCTGGGAATACAGGCATGCACCAAGCCAGGCTCTTCTTGTTTAAATTCAGTTCAGTGAAATATTTTTAAAAAACAGAATCTAAATATTTAATAGCAAATAATGGGATAACATTTATTAAAATTGTTTTTAACTTTGAGACCAATAAGCATATACACAAACATATAAAGAAAGTATTTTGCAGGATGGATGGCAATATTAACTTTCTTTATGACTCATTGTTGAGCTTTCCAAAGTTATGTTAGCTAAATTATTGAAGGGTTTCATTGATAGAAATTATGAAACCATCCTTGAATACAGACAGTTCACTAGCAGGCAAGCAATCTATATTTCACACAGCTGGAAGATGTGAGGAGATAAGGAGTAAAGGCTGTGGTGTGTTTATCACCGCTGATCAGCACACAGACTTCAGATATAAGAATGTGTTAAAACAATTTTTCCCCCAGGTTTTTCAATTATATGCTTTAAGACTGACATTATCAGCGGGATCACCTTTTAGAATGGAGATGAGCAACTTAACACATACAATACTATTAATAATTCTTCAGTTTTGTCCGTCAGCCACCAGAGGGCAGTATTTTCTCTCTTTCTCTTTCTCCCTCTCCCTCCCCCGTCTTTCTTTCTCTCCGTCTCTCTTCTTTTTCTCTCCATTTCCTTCCTTCCCCCCCTTCTCTTTCTCTCTCTCTCTCTCTCTTCTCTCTCTCCATTTCCCTCCTTTCTTCCCTCCCTCTCTGCGTCTCTTTCTCTTCTTTCTCTTCCTCCATTTCCCTTTCTATCGCGCACGCTTTCTCTCTCTACCTATTTCTCCCTCTTTCCCTGTCTCTCTCCCCCATCCTTCTCTCCTCCATACATCGCTTTCACTCCTCATCTCTCTCTCTCTCTCTGTCTCTCTCTCTCTCACACACACACACACACACACACACACACACACACACACACTGCATACTTCATGGAGATAACTTATCCCATGGGGGACTGACCTAGTTCTGCCTGCTCCCAGCGCCCCTCCCTCACTTTCTTGCACCATGTGCTCTGGTCCGGGCTGTCCTCAGAGCATTCACTCTGGTCTCCTGGATTCTAATCTTCCAGGGTGCTGCCAGGAGTGGTATTTTGACCACATATCTTTCCTGTTTAAGATCCTTCAAGGACAGCGTCTCTCTGGGATTCAGGGACATTTGGACACGTCTCTGTCTTAGCCACTTACCCCATGGAACTGTCATGATTGATTTATGTGCCCATCTTCCACACTGGCATAGGAACTCCTCTAGGATGGAGACCTGGCAGCAGATATTGTTTTTGGTAGCCTCAATTCCTAGCAGGATGCCAGACACATAGCACGCTGTGGCCTCAGTGATTAACCAGTCATAGCTGAGGAACTCTATATACTGACACTGTTGCATTTTGTCAAATATGTATGCGTTGACTCGCCCTCTCTGCCAGCCTCCGATTCACACCAGAGGAAGCTAAGGAGGGGTTTGAATCCTTGCATCAACCGGGGCTTCCCCTTGTTATATCCATTTAAAGAGGGCTCGAGGGTTAACCATTGCTTTAAACATACATTTATAGATTTTAAAAATTAGGCCAAATGTGGTGGTTCACACCTGTGATGCCAGCACCTTGGGAGGCCAAGGTGAGAGGATCACTTGATGCCAGGAGTTTGAGACCAGCCTGAGCAAAATAGTGAGACCCCCATCTCTAATAAAAACTTAAAAATTAGCTGAGCATGGTGGTGCATACCTGTAGTCCCAGCTACTCAGGAGGCTGAAGTGGGAGGATCACTTGAGCTCAGGAGATCAAGGCTGCAGTGAGCTAAGATCTTGCCACTGCATCCCAGCCTGAGCAACAGAGCAAGACTTTGTCTTTAAAAAAAAGAATAAAAAATAAAAATATATAATTAATAAAATATAAACATAAATAAAAATGGACCACCTTAGCAGAGATTAGTTGACAGCTGAGAGCAGGAAGGAGATCTGGGCTAGAGACTGGGAAGGTTGGGGTGTGCCTGGGAGAGGCTGGGGCTGGGGGCAGGAGGACAAAGTATCCCAAACAAGGTTTCCAGCGAAATCTTTAACGTTCACCAACAAGGCAGTGCTGGACTTGGTTTCACCACTAGCAGCCTCTCCTTCTCCATTTTTGTAACATGTGCTCTGTTTTACTTTGAGCAAGAAAATTAAGATATATGGTTTGGCTTTAAAAGGCATAGTTCTGGGGCTGGGCATGGTGGCTCACACCTGTAATCCCAGCACTTTGGGAGGCCAAGGCGGGTGGATCACGAGGTCAGAAGTTCGAGACCAGCCTGACCAACACGGTGAAACTCCATCTCTACAAAAATACAAAAATTAGCGGGGCATGATGGCACCCAGCTACTCAGGAGGCTGAGGCGGGAGAATCGCTTGAACCTGGGAGGTGGAGGTTGCAGTGAGCAGAGATCATGCCATTGCACTCCAACCTGGGCGGCCAAGCGAGACTCCGTCTCAAACACACACACACACACACACACACACACACAAAAAAAAAAAAAAAAAAAAAAAAAAAAAAACAAAACCAAAAGGCATAGTTCTTTTTTACCTGGCAACACACGCACATGGTAAACAGAAGTCCAAACAGTACAAAGGGGGTAGAATAAAAGTTGTTTTAAAAATGGCAAGCGAGGCTGGGTGCAGTGGCACGCCTATAATCCCAGCACTTTGGGAGGCCGAGGTAGGTGGATCACCTGAGGTCAGGAGTTCGAGACCAGTCTGGCCAACATGGCGAAACCTTGTCTCTACTAAAAATACAAAAATTATCTCGGCGTTGTGGCACACACGTGTACGCACAGCTGCTTGGGAGGATCACTTAAACCCAGGGGGTGGAGGTTGCAGTGAGCCGAGATCTCACCACTGCACTCCAGCCTGGGCAACAGAGTAAGACTCCATCTCAAATTAAAAAATAAAAAGGGCAGGCAAAATATCTCTTGCTTTAATTTGTCTATTTCATCTTGCTTAGTTTTTCTTTTTCTTTATTTTAAATGCCTTCCCAAAGCTTGAAACAATTTTGTTTCCAAAAGATTGGTCTACAGCCATAAGAGTTTCTAAAACATTACTGATGAGCGTTTTAAGGATGTCTTATCTAAAATGTGGTTATGCAGTCATTTGTATTTATACATCTCCTTCTCAAGTCTGGGTAAACAAAACTCATCAGAGCACTTACCAAAGTCAGTGGAGAGCAGCTGGTATAGGGTGCGCGTCAGGAATGAGTAAGGCAGGTGAATCAGATGTCTACCATTCGCACCAATTGCTGCAAAATCAAAGACAGATCAAAGCCCTCAGAATGGTTGGTCCGAGCTTGCAAACTTTTCCTTTTCACATCTTGCTGGCAAGTGCTATTCAGGGTGAAAAAGATCTGGGAGAGAACAAAAATGATTATTCTGTTTTGTCTAGATGTGGAAATTCTGCCCTAGACTCCTTTGAGTTTAGAAGAAAAGGTGAAAGTTATTGCTAGATCTAAATAAGTCCCAGTTGGGAAAGATCTCAAGACAAAAAATTTTCATGGCATGTTGATACTTCAAAGATGTAATGTGAGGAGGCTTTTATATTTTGGATTTGAATGAGTATGGTCTCTTCATATTTACTCCATTTTAAGGATATACATTCTTAAAGGGTGTTGACAATGTAAACATTTCTTAATGTGGTCTCAATTGCATTATTTAAAAAGCTGTTGAAATGGAAAAAGGAGTCCAGACTGGAGACACGTCGAAGATCTAGAGAAAAATCCAGTGTTCAAAGGCGTGTGATAAAATGAATGGGAAGGAAATATTTGGAGACAAAAACCAAAGAACCTAACGGAGAAGAGGATTTTTATGGCCATCTGAAGCTCCTACAGCATGTTAATCTGAACAGTTATGGTCCAAGATGAAAGTGTTTAGTACACTGTTCAGTAAATATTATTGTTGGTGATGAAAAGTTTATTATGGAGAAAAAGGGAATTTTGTGGATGAAGACAAAGAAAATTGTGAGGCAACATGTCCAGAGATCTTGAAGGGCTGCGAAAAATTTTTGAAATGTAGATAAAGAGTAAACTATTTTCTCCAAGTATACAATAAGAATTTGGAGTGATATAAAATAATTTATATTATATAATTTATATAATTATATGTAATATATAATTTATATAATTATATGTAATATATAATTATAATTATATAATGACAAACAATTTAGTTAACTTTTGCCTAAAACATTCCAAACAGAAATAACAATTTATACTAATTAAAAATTTACTGACATAAACTGTTCAGTGATTCACATAAACCTGGTAAAGATATGTGTTATTAATAATTATTCAGGCTGGATATGGTTGCTCACGCCTGTAATCCCAGCACTTTGGGAGGCCGAGGCAGGAGGATCAGGAGGTCAAGAGATCGAGACCATCTTGGCCAACATGGTAAAACCCCGTCTCTACTAAAAATGCAAAAATTGGCTGGGCGTGGTGGTGCGTGCCTGTCATCCCAGCTACTCGGGAGGCTGAGGCAGGAGAATCACTTGACCTCAGGAAGCAGAGGTTGCAGTGAGCCGAGATGATGCCACTGCACTCCAGCCTGGAAACAGAGTGAGACTCCATCCAAAAAAAGAAAAATAATAATAATAATAATTATTATCATTCAGACTTGGGCTGAGGTGGGAGGATCACTTGAGCCCAGGAGTTTGAGACCTGCCTGGGCAACACAGAGACCCCTGTCTCTACAACATAAAAATAATAAAGTCATCTGGACATGGTGGTGTGCACCTGTAGTTCTAGCTACCATGGAGGCTGAGGCAGGAGGATCACCTGAGCCCAGGAGTTTGAGGCTGCAGTTAGCTATGATTCTGACTGCACTGAAGCCTGGGTGATAGAACAAAACCCTGTCTCTAAAATAATATTAATGACAATTATTATTATTCAGACTTGGTACTGAATATTTACCATGTCTTCTGAATGCTCACATGTCTCACATGTTGAGTATTCTTGAAGAATACTTCAGCTGGGCATGGAGGCTCACACCTGTAATCCCAGCACTTTGGGAGGCCACAGTGGGAGGATCACTTGAAGCCAGGAGTTCAAGACCAGCTTGGGCAAACTAGCAAGACCCCATCTCTATGAAGGAAATTTAAAAATTAGCCAGGTATGGTGGTGTGCACCTGCAGTCCCAGATACTCAGGAGGCTGAGGCAGGAGGATCACTTGAGCCCAGGAATTTGAGACCAACCTGGGCAAAATAGCGAGAGCTGATCTCCATAAAAAGAATTTAAAAATTAGCCAGGCATGGTGGTATGTGCCTATCAGCTAGGCAGGAGGCTGAGATGGGAGGATCGCATGAACTCAGGAGTTTGGGGGTGCAGTGAGCTATGATCGCACCACTGCACTCTAGCCTGGGTGACACAGCAAGACCCTGTCTCATACACACACACAAAAGCCTCTCAAAGTTGGTTTCTTCCATGGGTATTCTTTTCTTCTAGGTAGCATCCTTGTGTTCCAATATTTACATGAAGATGATGCCTTGCTGTTTTTCCATTTTAGTTGAGCAAAATTTGTGGTAGGGGAGTCCAGAATGAGAAAAACAATGACAATTTCAAAAGCAGACCTCCCTTATTTTAGAACTTTGCCCTGGATTTCATTTTATGGCCAAAGTCCAGCTGGCCAACCTCTCTTACCCTGCACTGCCTTCTGTGATTTTGTTTGGGATGAAGGATCAGAGGAGACAGTTGACAGAGAGCTGACTTTGAGGCCAGCAGCAGGGCAAGCTGGGAGAGAGAGCTCCCCTTCCCTTCACCACGGGAAATGCAGGCAAAGCCCACACCGGTTTGTTTTTTTTCTCACTGATGGCAGAGGAATTCCTATCCCTTGGGGTTTACACTCATTTTGTGTGCTCTCCAAATCTCCCCACTTATCTTTAGACAGACTCCCAACAACCCTCTGGACACAACTCCAAAGGAAAGAGTTCGCGGGCCCACGTCGTGCTGGGGAATGACGCAGCTCACTTTTTCACAGGACGGAAATCTGGGAAGTGTTTAGTCAGTTTCACGGTGACAGGCAGGATATCAGCGGGAACCAGGTCATGACAGAATCCACACCCTGCTCTCCTCCCGTACACAGTAAGAAGCAAGTCTCAGCCAGCCAGCGTAGACTCAGAAACAGAGGGTGAGGAAGAGCTCCAAGCACTGTTTTGTTTCCTTTTTTTGCACGATTGAGCTTGTAGAAGCAGAGGTAGGAGAAAAAGAAAAAAAGAGAGAAAGAGATGAGAAGGAAGAGGATCTATGCTTCCAGGGCTAAAGCAACCCTGGCAGAGGTGGGGCTGCGAGGTAATCAACAACGCTTTCATTCGCTCTTCAATGTTTTCAATTAATTAATTGAAAAAAAATTTCTTGAGCGGCCCTCTTATTGGCAGACAACGTTCTAGGAGCTAGGGTTACAGCAGCGGAAGGTCAAGGCCCTGCTATCCTGGAATTTCAGTTATATTATATAGAATATCTGTCATATCCCGGGAAGGAAGATAATATCCAAGTAAACAGATGGTCCATGCAATTTTAGCTAATGAAAAGTGCTTGAAGAAAAGCCAGGCAGGGTTAGGGAATAAGTAGTGTGTGTTTGTGTGTGTATGTGTGTGTGTGAATTTCAGACAAGCAGTCAGGGAAGGCTTCTAGGAAGAGGTGACCTTTGAACAGAGGCTCTGGAATGAGGCGGAGAACAAGCCATGTGAACAATTTATCTGTACAACTGAGGAGTGCTTTCCTCTTCCTTAGCAGCGTGCACTTGTGTGCAATTTCTCCCCAGGATGGGACCACAGCCCCACTTCTTGAATCATAGAGAGACCGGGGAGTTAGAGAGAGGCATCTTCCACCGCAGTAGAGTTGGGTGACCAATATCAGAGCTGCGGCTGGACTGGGAGGGTTGGATCTGAGATGCAGTGACGTGAGGGTGGAGGGAACGGTACAGCCTCTGATTGTCACAGGGCTGCCGCCCAGGATACAGACTTGGCTGGGGATGGAACGGGTGTAGTTGGCTCTGCAAGTGCAGTTTTGACTCCAGCACAGCTACTCATCAGCTTGGTGCCCTGGGCACATTATTTAACCACTCTGGGTGTTAGTTTCTTTGGAGAATGGGGTTCATAAAGGTCCCTCTGCCACAGAGTCATTGGACTAACTGAGCTGATATACATGTAGAGGGTCCTCAGGAGACTGCCCGGCATAGAATCAATTCTACATAAGCTTTGGCTGTTATTAACACGTGCCACACTATAGGGACCCTGAGCTCTCCCCACTCTCCCACACCCCTACACCTACTCCTCAATAGGCTGATTAGTCTCCTTATAATACAGCCATTCTTGTCCCCCCTGGAAGCCACTTCTTCAGGGCCTCCACAGAGTCCTGCACAAAGGGCCGTGGCTTTGAACCTAAACACAAAGGGCCGTGGTTTTCACCAACCCGACCACACAGTATCCTAAGGGTAGATCCTGCAGTGCCTCCTGGCAGCCTTTCCTGACTCTTGGGATAATTTCTTTTCTAGAGTTGGATGCACCTTTCTGGCCTCTTTCTACCTAGAGCTAAAGAAAAAAAAATTCAAATTTAAATTTCCTTGGGAAATCTAGCAACGTTAAAAACCTGTGCCTTTAAATCCTTACGTGGAGAACTGCAGTCAAGAGCACGTAGGAAAATGCAAAAGAAGTGAAGATACAGCTTGATCTAAGGGATAAGACCTAGTGTTTGATAGAAATAAGACCTAGTGTTTGAAAGATCAGTAGGGTGGCTGTAGTTTATAATAATCTATTTTATATTTTAAAACAGCTAAAAGAGAATAATTCAGGTGTTATGAGGAAAAAACAATATTTAAGGTGATGGATAATCCAATCATACCTATTTGATCTCTAAAAATTATATGAATGAATTAAATGATTACATGTACCCCCAAATATGTACATCTATTATGTATAAATAAAAAACAAACTTATTTCAAAAATCAGAAATAAAAACCAAAGAAATGGAGAACATAGCGATTGTTTAAAAACATTGATCTGGTCATGATACTCCTCTGCATAAGGCATTTTACCATCACAAGTGGTCCATTGCCCACTATATCAAGTTCAAACTCTGGCTTGAGGCCAGGTGCAGTGGGTCCTGCCTGTAATCCCAGCACTTTGGGAGCCGGAGGTGGGAGGATCGTTGAGCCCAGAAGTTCAAGACCAGCCTGGGCAACATAGTGAAATCCCATCTCTACAAAAAACACAAACATCAGCCAGGTATGGTGGTACCTGACTGTGGTCCCAGCTACTCAGGAGGCTGGGGTGGGAGGATCGCTTGAGCCGGGGAAGTCAAGGCTGCACAGAGCCATGATCGTGCCGCTGCACTCTAGCCTGGGTGACAGAGCAAGATCCCGTCTCAAAAATAAAACGAAACAAAACAAAATTCTGGCTTGGGAACTTTCCAGCTCGGCCTCTACTTACCTTTCTAGCGTCATGGCTCCACACTGCGTTTCCTTATCTGGGAATCCCAGCCTTACTGAACTTTCAGCTTCTGCAGCCAGCCACGCTCTTTCTGGCCTCCGGCTTTGCTGTGTGCTGTTTCTCCAGCCTGGCGATTTGCTCTGTCCCCAGCCCCTGCACTCCTTTACCTGATCTGCTCCGATTGATCCTGCAGTCCTCCGCGGCTGAGTCACTTCCTTCTGCAGGGAAGCCGTCCTGGGTTCTCCTCCGAGGACTGTCTCAGCAACCATCGCCTTCTCCACTGCAGAGGGTGTCTCCCTGTTCCTAGGGGAGGCCTGAGCACCCCATTGTATGTGTCCCTTCTCGCTCCACCCTCAGAAGCAACCAGAGTAGCAACCAGTGAGTTTATTTATTATTTATTATTTATTTAGTTTTTTGAGATGGAGTCTTGTTCTGTCGCCCCGTCTGGAGTGCAGTGGTGCGATCTCAGCTCACTGCAACCCCTGCCTCCCAGGTTCAAGCAATTGTCCTGCCTCAGCCTCCCAAGTAGCTGGGATTACAGGTGCCCACCACCACACTGGCTAATATTTGTATATTTAATAGAGACGGGGTTTCACCATGTTGGCCAGGCTGGTCTTGAACTCCCAACCTCAGGTGATCCGCCCACCTTGGCCTCCCAAAGTGCTAGGATTACAGGCATGAGCCACCATGCTCCACCTGTTTTAAAAATATATATAAATTTGTGGGGTACAAGTGCAATTTATTTTACATGCATAGTGGTTAAGTCAGGGCTTTTAGGGTGTCCATTACCCAAATGACATAGATTGTACCCCCTAGAGTAATGTCTCATCATTCACCCCTCCCACTCCCTCATCCTTTGAGTCTCCACTATCTGTTATTCCATGCTCTGTGTCCATGGGTACACATGATTTTTTTAGCATCTTCTTATGAGTGAGAACATGCAATATTTGTTTTTCTGTATCTAGCCTGTTTCAGTTAACATGATGACCTCCAGTTCCATCCATGTTGTTGCAAAAGGGATAATTTCATTCTTTTTTATGGCTAAATAGTATCCCATGGTGTATATATAACACATTTCCTTTATCCAGTCATCTGGTGATGGACACTTAAGTGTATTCCCTATCTTCGCTACTGTGAATTGTGCTGCAATCAACAGACTAGTGCAGGTATTTTTTTTTAATCTTTTTTTTTTTTGAGTTGAAGTCTTACTCTTGTTGCCCAGGCTGGAGTGCAATGTCACAATCTCGGCTCACTGCAACCTCCGCCTCCCAGGTTAAAGGGATTCTTCTGCCTCAGACTCCTGAGTAGCTGGGATTATAGGCGCCTGCCACCACACGTGGCTAATTTCGGGGTTTCACCATGTTGGCCAGGCTGGTCTCGGACTCCTGACCTCAGGCGATCTGCCCACCTTGGCCTCCCAAAATGCTGGGATTACAGGTGTGAACCACTGCGCCTGGCCCAGTGCAGGTCTCTTTTTGATATATTGATTTCTTTTTCTTTGGGTAGATATCCAGTACTGCGATTGCTGGATCAAAGGCTAGCTCTATTTTTAGTTCTTTAAGAAATCTCCACACTCTTTTTCATAGAGGTTGTACTAATTTTCATTCCCACCAACAGTGTATCAGCATTCCCTTTTCTCTGCAGCTCGATGAATTTGACTGAAGGCATGTTCTTTGCTTTCTATTAGTTTAGAATCTGTTTGAGGCAATAGCTTAAAATGACACAGAACAAATAGAACTGTAAAGCAGGTAGCTCAGTGAGTTCCTCCAGGGAGTGATTTTCTGTAAAGATCTTGCCCAAATTTAGCTAGTCCCTAGAAGACAGTGTAGAGAGTGTTGTGAGATGAGAAGTAAGCTAGGATCCAATTATGAGGCCATGGTGAGCAACTTGAAAGAGTTTGATGTCATTGCAGGACAATGAGAAGACAAGGAAGAGCTGTCAGGGAGGGAAATTGGCCATCCTTAAAACTAACCATGACAAAACAATTACGCACACCCCATCTGTAGATTCCAACGCTAATTAGCCTCTTTTCCCACCAGGTATGGAAAATCCTCCAAGTTTTCAGACTCATCTGGATTTGTCACAGCCCAGCTCTGCCCTTTTTCCAATGGGTTGACCTTATGCAAGTTAGTTAGGATCTGCAAACATCAATATCCTGGTATGATTAACAGGAATAACAACAAAACCAACTTTATAGGGATTTGTGAGATTTAAAAGAGATAAGTACAGTACTAACATGTGACTAGAACAGAATCTAAAGGTAAATTATAACGGCAGCAGTCAGTAGTAGTACTACTACAGTAGTAGCAGCAGCAGTAATATTAGTAATAAAAATAGTGGTACAGATACTCTTTGAACATAATAGCTTATAGGAGCTGCCCCCCGGATTGCTACTCTGGGAGTGTGTATTTGCACATAGCATTTCCTGAGGGCAGACTGCTGTGAAGTCTCCTCTCCGTGCTTCCTCTGTCACTGGCCTGAGATTGACAGCTGTTTAGCAGGGAGATCACAGAGCTGAAGGACCCACGTGGAAAAGTGGGATCTGGAGGTGAGGAGGGAAGGGGAGGGTCAGAAGAGCCTGGAAGTCTAGGGAGAAAGAGGTTTTTCTTCCTGCATTTGGTGGTTAGCCATGTTTGCCCCCAACATAGCTGGCATGCAGGCACACATGTTAGCATGCAAGATTACATCTGTGTGTGCGCGCCCCCCCCCCCCCCCCACACACACACACACTCCCACACACCCCTGATAAAATCTGGGGGAGAGACAACTTTTGTGACAGAGTCCAAAAGCTATTCCTAGATCTCTCCCCTCCCCATGTGGACCATGTAATAGATTAAAATGCACTTTAAATGTAAGCTAGAGGACCACACTTCACGCATTTTCCTGTGCACTATTTGAGGGTGTGCATTTGGGCTCATGCAACACAGTTCCCCTCTCTCCAGCACTGCAGAGAGGTAGTGTGTCAGGCATGTTGTTATTACTGCCACTGTCCTTGATTCAATGTGAATGCAGGAGGGACCCTCTACTGCAGTTATGAGAGTTCTGGATCTCCTTGGGTGATCAAAGTGGAGACACAAGGTGTGAAAAATGGAGGTCAACTTGGGGTCAATTCTCCCTGGAAATGTGTTTCTATATTTGAAACCCACCTTAACTAAATAACTATGAGAAAAGGCAGTCATTGTTGGATGCTAGGCTGCACACCCTCAAGGCTGTATGACCTGTCTAGCCTCTCTCCCCATCCTTACACATCCCCACCCCCCAAAGCCATTAGACTCTTCCTTACCTCTGCTATTTAGCTATAAATATTTTCTCTTTTTTCTTTTCTTTTCTTTCTTTCTCTCTTTCGTTCTCTTTCTTTCTTTCTTTCTCTCTTTCTTCTTTCTTTTTCTTTTTTTTTTTTTTTTGAGACAGTTTCCCTTTTGTTGCCCAGGCTGGAGTGCAAAGGCATGATCTCGGCTCACCACAACCTCCATGTCCAGGGTTCAAGCAATTCTCCTGCCTCTGCCTCCCAAGCAGCTGGAATTACAGGTGCATGCCACCATGCCCAGCTAATTTTTTGTATTTTTAGTAGAGATGGGGTTTCTCCGTGTTCGTCAGGCTGGTCTCGAACCCCTAATCTCAGGTGATCTGCCCGCCTCTGCCTCCCAAAGTGCTGGGATTAAGGTGTGAGCCACTGCACTCCGCCTATGAATCTTTTTTTCTTTTTTCTTTTCTTTTTTTTTTTTTGAGACGGAGTCTCTCTCTATCGCCCAGGCTGGAGTGCAGTGGCGCAATCTCAGCTCACTGCAAACTCCACTTCCCAGGTTCACGCCATTCTCCTGCCTCAGCCTCCTGAGTAGCTGGGCCTACAGGCACCCGCCACCGCGCCTGGCTAATTTTTTGTATTTTTAGTAGAGACGGGGTTTCACCGTGTTGGCCAGGATCGTCTGGATCTCCTGACCTGCTGATCCGCCCGCCTCGGCCTCCCAAAGTGCTGGGATTACAGGCATGAGCCACCGCGCCTGGCCGAATCTTTTTTTCTTAAGAGATTGGCACAGATAAAGATTATTGGAATGATTTCAGTTTTTTCCACCTGAGGAAGAAAAGACCAATGTGCTTTTGTCTCATGGCCCATTTCAGCTCGACATCACTATGCATACTCCTGGCTTGACACCATTCAGAACCTGTAGCAAAGGTGGGGTCGCTTCCAGGCATGAGAGTAGCAACTGGCTCCATGCTCAGCTTGCAGAAATAACTTTCCTTTCTTTCAAAATTCAGGACCACAGATTTCCAAGCTCTGGAGGTGAACTGCGGATGGCATGGTAAATTAAATGAGAAACAGGGTGACCTGTAGCCATAACATGCATGACAGCAAAATGGGTAAAGACCATAGAAGGCCTCACAGGAGAATTTTGCTAGGGCACCTGAGGCTTCAGTATGGTTTGGGGACGTGGGTGTCAAAGTTTTAAAAGATAAAGGGATTTTAATGTAAAATGAAATAAGAATATATATATATATATTAAAATGAGTGCTAAACTCCATGAGTTCTTTTCCTTTTACCCAAATTGATTTAATTTTCAATATTGATTTCAAAGGCTACTGTGTTTGCATGTTTGGATGATGTTGTGATGAAAACACGTTTACTAAGAACCCTGTGATTGCTCTGCAAAATGAAGAGGAGCTGCAGAGGACTGTCCCAGGCAAGGCCAACTTGCCTGTAAGACCTTTGGGAAACATTCAGTACTTCGAAGACAGAGGAAATTAAGCTGCAGTTAAAGTACTTGCAGAGAGAGCATCTGAAAGTATAGGGACAACCTAGAGATGCAGCAATCAGACTATTCTAGAATAAGAGTTGACTTATGCTTTACTGCCTACTTAGTAAACTATGGGATGCATGCAAACAGTGATGTGATCGGGCACGGTAGCTCACGCCTATAATCCTAGCATTTTGGGAGGCTGAGATGGGTGGATCGCTTGAGGCCAGGAGTTCGAGACCAGCCTGTCTAACATGGTGAAACCTCGTCTCTACTAAAAATACAACAACAAGAAAATTAGCTGGGTGTGCCTGTACTGGGGTTACTGAGGCAAGAGAATTGCTTGAATCTGGGAGTTCGAGGTTGCAGTGAGCTAAGATCATGCCACTGCAATCCTCTCTGGGCGACAAAGCAAAACCCTGTCTCAAAAAAAAAAAAAAAAGAAAAAAGAGAGATTCCTGATACTTTTCTTATTTATGTATTTAGAGACAAGGTCTTACTCTGTCACCCAGGCTGGAGTGCAGTGGCATGATCTTGGCTCACTGCAACCTTGAACGCCTGGGCTCAAGCAGTCTTCCTGCCTCAGCCTCCTGAGTAGCTGGGACCGCAGATGTGCATCACCATGCCTGGTTAATTTGTTTTTGGTACCCAATGGGCAAAGGCATGACCTTCTCTTGCCCTCACTGCCTTTCCTGCAAGCTAGAGTGTAGACCTGATGGGGCAGCCAACTTAAACCAGGGGATGGAAGCTGTGTTTTGAGGCTGGCAGAACACCAGAAAGAAAAATCTGGATTCTTGATGATTGTGCAGCCTCTATTCCAGCCCTGGATTGCCTTCCTGGATTTTGATGTGAGTGAGAAATAACCTACCAGCTTTGTAAAGTCACAGTGAGTTTGGATCTGTCATTTTCAGAGGCCAAACTATATCCCAACCCATACACTCACATGTTAGATTTCTTGTGGATGGAAACTGTGGCTATTCCTTTTGCTCAAGAGAAGACAGTGGACTTTCTTGCTTTTCCTTTGCAACACACATCATAGACTATCCAACCCGAGGGACTATTTGGTTGGAAAAGCAATTGATTTATAAACCAATTGGTCTGGTTGTACCAATTTTAAACAAAAATGGTGGATTTTGATGTTTCGCTCCTTTGGTGTAATTAGATTTCTGTAGTATCGAGGCAGCCAGTCGCCAGTAGTAAGAGATGTCTATATTCCTCTGTGATGAATTAGACAGCCCTGTGGATTCATCTTTGGAAGTTGACAAGTCCATGTTCCAAACTAGACTGATTCTTGTATTTAATGAACATGACAAAACAAAATGTATCACGAGCAAAAAGCATGCTATTGTGTGCTGGCAACTACTTTAGTTTGTCGAAAGGGAATTTCTAGGAGGAAAAGATAGAGTTTTAAGTCAGACTTTAAAAAATCACTTTCCAATTTTCTTAAATTTTGATTTTCTAACCCAGCTTACTGTAGTATAGGCAAGGTAGAAAAATAGTCATTTATCTGAAGGATATTCCACCCAGAATTTCAGCTTTAGGTGAGCATTAGACAAAGAGCTAAGATTCCCTGAAATTTATTTGCCCAGAGTGATGCTAGTGAAGGGGCGTCATTGTCTGGGGTAAATAACCAGGGATCGTCCTCTTGAATCAAGAAGATTAAGGACATGGACACACACAAGGAGTGAATTTTGGAGCGGAGGTTTAATAGGCTAAGGAAAGAGAAAAGAGAACAGCTTTTTCTCTTGAGAGAGAGGGGCTCCTGAACCGGGAATTCCGGCCAGAATGGGAGTGCATCGGATTTTACAGACAGCATTGAGGAGGCAGTGTCTGATTTACATAGGGCCCACAGGTTGTTGGATCAGGAGTGACATTTACATAGTGCACGGAAAAGGCTGGCCACCCCACCCTAATCTGATTATGCAAATGGGCTTTCCACTTGGCTGGTGCCATGTTGCCTGCTCCTCACTGTACACGCAGCTGGCAAAGAGAAGGGAAGATGGAGCCACCATTTTGACCATGCCTAGTCCCAGGTAGCCTTCTTCTATTGGCACAGCAGCCGGCATTCACCCGCGCAAGCTTCCAGCTTGCTTGTCTATGTCTGCAGCTCGATTTTCCAGGCTGCGGTTTGCTAGAAAAGAAAATGATTCTGGGGCTGCTTTTCATTAAAAGGAAAACCTTACCGAGGACTCCCTTACCTTCACTATCTGCCTAAGTAATTTCTTCTTTTTTATTTATTTATTTATTTATTTTTTTTTTTAGACAGAGTCTTGCTTAGTCACCCAGGCTGGAGTGCAGTGGCGCAATCTCGGCTCACTGCAAGCTCCACCTCCCGGGTTCACGCCGTTCTCCTGTCTCAGCCTCCCGAGTAGCTGGGACTACAGGCGCCCACCACCATGCCCGGCTAATTTTTTTTTTTTTTTTTTTTTTTTTTTTTTGTATTTTTAGTAGAGACGTGGTTTCGCCATGTTAGCCAGGATGGTCTCGATCTCCTGACCTCGTGATCCACCCACCTTTGCCTCCCAAAGTGCTGGGATTACAGGCGTAAGCCACCGCACCTGGCCAGTAATTTCTTCTTAACTCCTATATCACTAGGGACTTCATATGCATTATGTCATGTAATCCTCACCATACAAGAGAGGTAGTACCACTATTATCTACATTTTGCACATGAGGAAATTGACATGATTGGCAAAGTTTACACCTCTAGTAGTGGCACAGTCATGACTGGAATCTTAGCCTGACTTCTAGACTCTGAATCCAATGCTGTAATGCATATTGACGCAAATGCTTAAAACCAATGAACTTTTTCTGCGGTGTTCCTAATAGCTTCTTTCTCTGGTCCAGTTATCGTTACATTATTTTTACCCAGCACTTGTAAGTGTCTTGGTGTTAATGTAAAGACATTCACAGGCGAGAAGCTGGGAAAAAATGCAAAGAATAAAAGGATTACATCAATATTGTCAGCACATAGAAATATTTGACTTTGGTTTGTTTTTGACAGTGGAGGGTAGTTGGTAGTAGTGATAGGAATATTTTAATAGCAATTAGCCTCTTAATAGAACTAAACGACATCATAATACAGCAATGATGTCATTTTTTTCTAAACAAATATATTCACAAATGAATGTTGTATCTTTATTCCTGTTGGCCTTCTATTGATCAGAAAACCTTTAGGACTCATTTTAAAAGAGCCTTCAGACTGAGCATGGTGGCTCATGCTTGTAATGCTAGTACTTTGGGACGCTGAGGCTGGATGATCGCTTGAGCTTGGAGTTGGAGGCTGCAGGGAGCTGTGAACAAGCGACTGCACTTCAGCCTAGACATTAGAGTGAGACTCTGTCTCTAAAAAAATAAAGTCTTCAAAGTCCATGCCAGGCTTGGCACAGTGGCTCACATCTGTATTCCCAGCACTTTGGGAGGCTGAGGTGGGCAGATCCCTTGAGCCCAGGCATTCGAGACCAGCCTGGGCAAGATGACGAAACCCAATCTCTACCAAAAAAATACAAAAATTAGTCGGGTGTGGTGGTGTACGCACATAGTCCCAGCTACTTGGGAGACTGAGGCAGAAGAATCACCTGAGTCCAGGAGTTGGAGGCTGCAGTGAGCTGTGATTGTGATTGCGCTGCTACGCTCCAGCCTGCGCAACAGAGCAAGACCCTGTCTCAAAAAAACAAAAATGAGAGACAAAGTTCATGCCAATCAAATTTTCTTTATGGATCAAATGCTGTATTGGCCCTTTGAAGGGACATTTTTTGGCAAAATGTCATTTAGAAATAAGACTAGTGAATAAAGTGAGGGTACAAGCTAGAGAATTCTATCTGATTCTTTAAATGAAACCTCGGTGTAAAGTAATGAGACTCATTTTCTTAGGTTGTGAGTGTCTCTGAGGATACAGTTCTGGAAATACTTTAAGCATGAGAGTAATATTGAAATAATTGTAGTTTTCTGATAACAACTTTAAAGGAACATTGGGATAAATGGACTTTTGGGCTGCTTATCTTAAAAAAGTAACAAAATGCAGAAAATGAATTCACAGACAGTGTAATTGTAGAAACTGACAGCTTCCTCTCTGGCTAAAAGTCTTCCAGTAACCAAATTGCTTATCTATTTGCTTCTATATTGGTCCTTGAATAGCCAGAAGAAGTCCTCCTCCACTTTCCCTACTTCACTATTTTAGACTTAAAAAAATTCAGCATGTTTCATTTTGTGACTCCTGAAGAGTTACTGGTCTTCCTGTTTAATTCTCCTATGTTCTGGGAAATATGGGAGATTTAAAATCTAGTGATAAAGAGACATGACAGACATCAGAAGACATGTTACACTCAGTTTCCAAAGGGCAGAGTACAAGACTTATGTTATTCTCATTCCAAGTGTGTGACATTGGTGCTGTACCCATATTGATATCCAAGACCAACAGGACAGCCGAAGAGAATGGTCCCTGATAAGAGTTCATTTCTCTGCCTGCAGCCATCTGCAAACTGAAGTCTGTTGATAAGCACCCCATAAATTATAACATGAACAACCCATCCTCCAGTTTTAGAGGGAAGTCAGCTTACACCAATTGCACAGATAACAGGTTTTCAAGAAGGAAAGAAATTGTTATGAACACACTCCCTTCTTTCTTCCTGAGCTCCCTGCTGTGCAGGGGGAACTGGCAAAAACAATGACAAACCGTCTCCAGTTTCTGCAAATCACTCTCTCTAAGAGCTAAAATCAACTGTGCAAACCCCTTCCAAGCTACATAGGAGTGTCATGTTTAGACCATTCATCACTCTCCCTTACACTGGAGGAGTTTTTCATGGACGGTGTTACTTCCTGAGCCAGCCTTTTCACTGTCACCAAGATTTATGCCTTATTACTCTCTTGCTAAAGGATTCCTCAAATTTCCTAAGGTCTTTCTCTTCCAACAGGATGAGTAGGAAGAGGACAACTCCCATTCGGAGATGTGGTTTACTTTTTTCTTTGAATTGTGAGTGATCTATGCTCTTCCTCCTCTTCAGTTGTCACCATAATTGATGGGCTTCTAGATATATTGGTTCAATGAAGACTCTATCAACATGACACCAACTGGGGCATTTGGTTTAGTCCTTGAAAAAAGTAATTAATTCGGTGGAGAAAACATTGATTCAATTGTTGATTGATTGAATAGAATTTGTCAGAGTAGCCCCTGAACTGTGAGCACATAACCCAAGGAACATGCTACTGCAGTGTTATGGAAAGGACATCTGGAAACTTTTCAAAATCTCTCCTTAACAGGGTACCTTCCTCTCATACACCCCTGTGGCATAGCAATTCTAGTCTTCTTTCTGCCAAGTCAAATATGCTTGTAACTATCCACTATTTTTTGTGAACCAGCTTTCAGACACAGTTAAATATGAGATCTGAGAACTTAGTCCTAACCCCTTTTAATGAGTACCTAGTAAGCCATGTTCACTGGGCCTTATATCATAGACTATCCAACCTGAGGATCCATTAGGTTGGAAGAGTAATTGACTTAAAACCCAACACAAATGCCATGGCAGACACTGTAGGTAGCCTATTAACTTATCATTTCTCTAGCCTCCTTTACAAACAGAACTCCAAGATGTTGTGGCATGTGGTTGCAATGTGCTTCGTGGATCTTCCACTATCCCAGGAGTGAAAGCTGGCATGACAATTTTGCGTCCCTTCTTACACCAGGTTGAGGTATGGGCTTGGTGCATAACTGTAGTCAATGAGACATGAGAGGGAATCTGCTGGAAACATTTTGAGAATGTCTTTCTGCCCTAATAAAAACGGATACAAAAGCAGCCTGGGCAATACAGTGAGACCCCATCTCTAAAAAAAAAAAAAGTTTAAAAGTTGGCCGAATGTAGTGATGCACACCTGTGGTTCCAGCTACCGGGGAGGCTGAGGTGGGAAGATTGCTTGAGCCCAGGAGATGGAGGCTGCAGTGATCTATGATTGCACCACTGCACTCCAGCCTGGGCAACACAGCAAGACTCTGTCTCTAAAATAAATAGATATAGGAGGAACAATGGTCCGTTTCTGCCTCTGGACAAGTCTGTGAGTTTGGAAGCTGCCGTAGCCTTTTTGCTACCATTGGTGGAGGAAGAAGAATGGGGCTGGGGGAGGGTGGGGCATGGTGGGGGGCGGGTTCCGGCAAGCTGAGGATGACAGAGGAGCAAGTGAAAAGAAACTTCTACCTTTGAAGGTATGATGGAAGTGGAGGTCTGATACAAAATGTTGTGCCTTAGATGTGGGGCAGAGGAAACTATTCTGATGCAAATTTGCCTGTAATGGGCTTGCCCTGCCAGCTCATAAAATTAAGGTGCTGTGATTTAGAAGAGACCTTGGGGTAAGATATTTTTATGGAGTCGTAGAACTGCTGTAGATCCACAAACACAGGACTGGGAATCTCAGTGGCTTTGGTAAAGATTATTTTGGAATGACTTTATTTCTTGTTATTTTGTTGACAGAGGTGTGATGAGGGGATTCTCTGTGGGTGAATTTCTGAATTTTTTGTATCCAAAGGGAGCAGAGAAATCTCTGAGTTGGAGATTCACATCCAGTGTTAAGTCATTTTTCAGCAGGCAACACTAGATTCTGGTCACAGATCTCCGAAGAAAATAGTCTCCTTCCCTCAGCCTCATTTACTCACACCATTAAGAGGTGGGAAGCATCCCCCAATTTTCTCTGCCCCCCTTCTCCTGAATTACTTTGTCTGGTAGAGGGAGAGAGTACAGCTGACAATCTGTGTTTTCTCTTGTGTGGGAGCAGCCTCACTTTGATCGCAACCCTTGACTTGATGGCGGCTGGCCACATCCCAGAAGGAAGAAACAGGATAGAGTTAGGGCAGGTCATATTTATTTTAGAGGAAACAAAAAGGGTGGGGAGAACCTTCAGCAGATGAACGTGTATATGTCATGGGGCAGAATGAGGTAGAAGCCTGGAAAACATAAAACAGAAAGACAGGATTGAAAGACTCGATCATCCCAAAGTGTCACCGTTCATAAGGACCAGAAACACCACCAGGACGGATGCACACGTTTTTGTGAGATTTTGTGACGGCCAGGGTAAGGGTGGCCAGAAATCAAAGGATTCACTTCCCTCACTAGCACAGTTTCCCAGTCCTGAATTCCCTGTGCATTATGATAACTGGATTCTTGTTTAATTCCTTGCAATGCCAACACTAACACACACTGTGCATTAGGGAAATACTATAGATAGGCTTTCTCCCAAACAGCTGTCTCTTGTCTTGTTTTGAAAGCATAACCTTATGTAAATCAATAGGAAAATCCCTCTGCCTGTCTCCTGGAGCAAAGAGTAGCCCTGTAACCTCCTTTCCATGAAGTGGAACTGAAGTCATTGCAGGTGCGCTGTAGGACCCTGCTGTGGGCCCTCAGGGAGCCATCTGTTCGTTAGAGGATGAGATGGCCTTTGCTTAGGGAGACACAGATGGGTGGGCATTTGGCTTTTAGGCCAGGTCAGGTCACTAAGCTTGTTTCCTCTATGACTGTAATCAAATAACTCATGCCTGACTCTGGTTAAAGAACTTTTTATTTAGAAAATATTTGCTATCATGGGAAGATGCTGTGTAGCTTGCATGCATCTCATCGCTCACCTCTGATTTAGAATTTAGAGATCCTTCAGAGATTTTTTATTTGGTTGGGTGTTCCATTTTCTGTGTCTGGACAGGTTGACTTGCTGCAAATATAGGGAAATAATTTTCCTCCCAAATGGCTCTCTGTCTTTTTTATTTTATTTTTTTGAGATAGGGTCTTGCTATATTACCCAGGCTGGCCTTGAACTTCTGGTCTCAAGTGATCCTTCCTCCTCAGCCTTCCAAGTAGCTGAGATTATAGGTGTGAGGCACTATGCCCACCTTGGTTCTCTGTCTTGAATGATGAAAATGTGAATTGCCGAACCTAGAGTAAACTGGGCTTGAGGAATTAAAAGGACCCTTTAATTATTAAACAAATAATTCCTACAAGTAAAATTCCTTCAAGAGATTCTGGAGGACTATTGATGAAATTCTGTCATTTTGTTAAATACTGAAAAATAGGTCCTATTATTTTAATCCTTCTAACATTGCCTTTTGAGCAACAGACATATAGAAACATTTCTACATCAATACGTTTGAGTTTAATGAATGAGTAATATTTGGGTGAAGTGTTTTGTTTAGGTGTTCCTCCTTCTCAATTCTTGGTAATATAAACCAAAAATAAAATCCTCAGCCCCTCATCTGACTGAGTAGACCCCTTCTTTCAACAAGCATTTTCTACAGAAAATACTAGTTCTGGCCATGATGGGAAGGGAGGATCAGGCATGCTTCATTCTACCCTCCTCCCTTTGGTATTCAGGCACAACTGACTAGCATTAACATTAAAACAGATTTTAAGATGGACAGAACAGACTTTTGTAGCAATAAGATACCAAATTCAAACCTGACTCCAGTGTAGCATCACATGACAGATATCAGGCCCTGAAAGAAATCAAAGTATTTTTACCCCAAAATATATTTGACATATTTTGAAATGGCCCTGCAAAGTAAGGGAAACTTACATTCTGTAAAGAATTGCTTCCCCTTTCTAGGTCTTTTCCTGATCCTGAAGAAATTAGCTGAGAGTCTAGCACCTTTGAAAAGTCCAAATAGAAAACATTTGCCATGTATTGCCTCTAAGAGTGGCCACCTGTGAGACTTCATCTACAAAATAAGAACTTCAGTCTCCACAACCCCTTATCTTAACCCACACACTCCTCCAGGTCTTTAGATAATAACTTAATTCTTTCAATGAATTGCCAGTCAGAACATCTTTGAATCCATCTGTGACATGTAATCTCCTCCCCTGCCCCACTACTTAGAGTTGTTCCACCTTTCCAGACTGAACCAATGTATACTTTAGTATTGATTGATGTCTTACATCTCCCTAAAATGTATAAAACCAAGCTTAACTCAGCCACTTTGGACACATTCTCAGGACTTCCTGAGGCTGTGCCATGGGTCAGGGTCCTTACCTTTGGCTCAGAATAAATCTTTTCAAATATTTCATGGAGTTTGACTTTTTTTTTGTCAACAGTCACTATGAAGAAAAGATGTTACGATCCCGGTACTCACTGTGTCTTCATTGTAGACAATTTCTGTGCTCTAAGTAGAAGAAACTGGATATGATGTCAAAGTCTAAACTTGGTACACAAAAGCACTAGAAAGTTTGATATGCTTTGCAGAAAAGATTGTTTGCTTTTTAAGTTTATTAATTGTGAGATTTAATTAAATAGTAAGAACTCACAATACTTTTTATTTTTATAATGTTACTGGCATGTACTTATTGTAATGACATGTACTTACCCTAGAACATTTAAGAAATTCAGAAAACATAAAGAAAATAATAAATACTACCAGCAATCTGAATTTCTAAAAAGTAAACACTACTAAAATTTTGGTATGCTTCCTTTCAGTGTTTTTATATACACATAAATAATTACAAAATTTAGACCATATTTTATATATAATTTTGTGTTCTATTCTTTCATAATAATCTTATAGTGCTTTTAAATTATTAACATTTAATTTCCAAGAAAACTTTTGGAAATTATCTGGAGTCTCTCAGGCCATTCAATTTATATTTAAGTTAATAAAGTTTGTGATTCTGTGTTTTGTGAAGGAAACCTTCTTTACTGTAATTTCCTTTTTTTATTTTTATTTTTTTTTTTTTTTGAGATGGAGTCTTGCTCTGTCACCAGGCTAGACTGCAGTGGCACGATCTCGGCTCACTGCAACCTCTGCCTCCCAGGTTCAAGCGATTCTCCTGCCTCAGTCTCTCGAGTAGCTGGGACTACAGGTGCACGCCACCAAGCCTCGCTAATTTTTGTATTTTTAGTAGAGACGGGGTTTCACCATGTTGGCCAGGATGGTCTCAATCTCTTGACCTTGTGATCTGCCTGCTTCAGCCTCCCAAAGTGCTGGGATTACATGAGTCACTGTGCCCGGCTGCTGTAATTTCCTTAATCAAATAATAGTTATATGGCGATCCAGTGTCTTCTCCGTGATTTTATTGTTTTTTTCCTAAAAGTCACTTAACATAACCTTTGAACTTGAAATTCTTAAGACATCCACTGAAGTCATATGAATTCATTGTTCCTGTTTTGAAAAGTATACTTTTCGAAATGAGGTTGAAGCAATAATTCATTGATGTCTGAAGTTCACACAAGATGGGCTGGCCAAAATCCTGCCAGCCAGATTGTCTCCTGGTTGAGGGAAGACCTCTACTAGGGCTCCAAGATCCTGTTTAAGCTCTTTCAAGAAGGGCCCTGTCTAATACCTCTATTATCATAGGAGCTCAAGGAATGTGTATGGCATGACTGAATAGCTTGTTTGGCTTACAGAAGGTGAGGGCATCTTCTGCCCTGGAGGAAAGGAAAAAAGGTATAAATGAACAGAGAATCAAAGAAAGAAAGAAATAATAGAAAGGAGAAACTAAACAGAAAGAAGTTGTGGTAGTTATTAAATATGTGTATAAATTCTTTAACACCCCTTCCATTGGATGGGGAGTGTCTTTGTCCCCTTCCCTTAGAATCCAGGCAGATTCTGTGACTTGCTTGTAATCAATAGAACGCAATGGAGGTGGCACTTTTAACTTCTGAGGTTTGGTCTTAAGAGGAAGTGCAGCTTTATCTTATCTACTGGGACATTTGCTTTTGGAGTTCTGAGCTGCCATGTGGAAAATGTGACCACCCAGTAGCCTCCATGTTGTAAGGAAGCCCAAGCCACTCGGGGAGGCCTTGGCTGTTGGTCCGATCAACATCCCCAGCTGCGGCCCAATAGACCACCCGCTTCAACCCCCTTGGGGTGACCAAAGACAGACACCCCACTTGTTTCTAACCTCCAGCCATCCAGTCATCCCCAGTGCTTGAATCTTCACAGTTGAGGCCACAGGCATCTTGGGACAGAAACCAGCCACTGTGCCCTTTGTGAATTCCTGACCCCTAGAATTTATGAGCATGATAAAATGGTGGCTTTGCTCCACTAGGTTTTTGAGTGGTTTGTTACACAAGAATAAATAGAAGGGAAACAAAGACATGGATTGGGTCTGGGAAGGATGTGGAAAATCTTCCAGAGTATATTTCTCTCTGAACTTGTTATGCAGTAAGCTGTCGAGGAATACAAAAACAGTGAAATAATTTTATGATATAGAAGAATGAACAGTGCTTGATTATGTTTCAAAGCACCTCAATCATCATTTTTTCCATTTGAAATGATATTAAATGTATCTATTATGTAGTAAATATATTATTCATAATAATAATAAAACAATTTTTTCAAGGCTAATTGTTTTATTCTTGGTTAATACAAGAAAAGCAGACACCAGAGGTTATTATTTAAACAATAAAAGAGGGTGTTATAGGAGCACAGAAGGCTTAATGGAAAAAAATACATAAATAAAAGAGGGTGCTATTTGGGATGATAAAAATATTTAGTAATAAATTCTAAATTTTCTGAGTGAAAAAAGAAAACTAAGATCTTAAAATCCTGCTCCTTACTTTTATACATATCTTTTATTGAGTACCCACTATATGCCAGGTTTTCTGCCAGGTGTGGGGGCTACGGAGATGAATAGGAAATGAGCCCTGTTAATTGTAGCAGGTGTTGGCACTGTGGTTAGCATTTCCTTTAAAAAAAATCTGCTTTTTACCTTATGGCTCAGATCATATCTATAACCCATCCTTTTAAGAAATGATAAGTGAAAGCATTGACTTTCACCTGTCACAGCCCCAGCATATCTGAGCCCATCAGGTAATTTGGGTAGAACATAAGGGCCTGTGAGCCTTCATTCAAAGCTCAAGGAAGAATTGCAAATCATGCTTTTTGGGTAACTGGACTGAATGTTTGTGTTTCTCCTTCAGCCAAATTCACATGCTGAAATCCTAACTGCCAATGTGAGGTTATTTGGAGGTGGGACCTTTGGGAGGTAATTAGTTTAGTTGAGATTGTAAGGGTAGGGCCACCATGATGGGATTAGTTCCTTATTATAAGAGGAATGGACACAAGGAGCTTGCACGCTCCACTCCATGAGGATATAGTGAGAAGGCAGCCATATGTAAGCCAGGAAGGGGGCCCTCCCCAGAACCTGGCCATGCCAGCCCCCTGGTCTGTATATGTAAGGTCTGTAAGAACATGATCAGTGCTTTTCTCCTATTTCCATCCTAGGAAGAGTCGGATAGAGTGCCTGGCACCCAAAAAGCTCTCATGAATGATTTCTTAAATGAAATTCTTCCTGCTATTTTTATACTTTATTAAAATAACAATATCCTTTCTTCCTTTCTATGTTCTTTCTGTTTTCTTATGATTTCTATAAAATATTTTATTTTTACAAGTAATTTAAATTTAACATTAAATCTATTGTTTATAGATGTAATACATGCACATAGTTTGAAAGTTGGGATAGTGTTAAAAGACTTACAACAAAAACAGTGGGCTGGTGATCCCACCTCCATTTTTCCCTCCCCATACTGCTTCACAGAAGCAATCACTTTCAACTTTTGAGCGCTTTCATGTGGTTTCTGAGAAGAGGTGCTATTGGACTTTAGTCCCCTTTGATATTGCCTTCTGTATGTAATCCTAAAGTACTGTAACCCTAAGCAATGACTTAAAAGATAATTTTATATTTGATACTAAAAGCAGACAAAATGAAAGATGTAGAAAAGTAAAAACAAACAGTAATTCTATTAACCAGGAATAAATTTTTCTACATATAATGGTGTGTTTTCTTCTTTTTTAACAAAATTGAGATTATATATACTTTGATACATACACAATTTGAGATATGTGCAATTTGAATCATGTCGTTAAAATTTTTTTTCCAGAATTTTTTTTGGTGATCATAATATTTCCTTAATTTAAGTCATAAACTCAATGTTGAGGGTTTTTAGATTGTTTCCAAAGTTTCCTGGTCCTAAAAATGCAATCATAAATATCACCATCATTATATGTAAGCCTTTCCTCAGTCTGATATCTTCCCTGAGATGAGCTACAGTCCTAGTAAGGAAGACTCAAGGGAATGTCATTGTGGCCTGTCCTGGTCCAAGGACGGTATGCAACAAATTCTTACTTGGTATTTCTAGATTGCTTTCCAGGGATTTTACACCAAATGACACCAAAGGAAATCGTGGGAACGTTTGGATCCTCAATAGAATGATGTGTTTGAGGTGTATATTAGAGAGTAGTCATCATTCTCAAATATTCTGAGACTGTAGCCACAGAACTTCACATAAACCCCGGGGTAAGATTGGAGAAGTGGATTATTAAAGGAATGACTTGTGAGTTGTCAAAAAGAAAGCAGAGCTCACCAGCAGCTGTTCCCTAAGAACAAGTTGGTCATACTAACTTCTTTTGGTGGCAGAGTTTGTAGGGAATGGTATAGTGTTTCTGGATTTAAACAAGGGATTTGACAAGACTACTCATGGTAAACTCATGGGTGAAATGGAGGAACATAGTGAAATACAACCCTAATAAGAAGGATTAGAAGGATGTGATTTTTACACTCTAGAACTTAAACTTGAGCAGAAGTCTTAGGGAAACCTGTTTTCACTTAACATTAAGACTCTTAGTGCAAGGCCAGGTTTGGTGGCTCATGCCTGTAATCCCAGCACTTTGGGAGGCTGAGGTGGGAGGATCATCTGAGGTCAGGAGTTGGAGACCAGCCTGGCCAACATGGTGAAACCCCATCTCTACCAAAAAATACAAAAATTAGTCAGACACGGTGGTGGGCAGCTGTAATCCCAGCTACTTGGGAGGCTGAGGCAGGAGAAGCTCTTTAACCTGGGAGGCAGAGGTTGCAGTGAGCCAAGAATGTGCCACTGCACTCCAGCCTGAGTGACAGAGTGAGAATCTGTCTCAAAAACAACAACAACAACATCAACAACAACAAACAAGAATCTTCGTGCAGAAGCAACTGCTCCCAGAGGGGAAAAAAAAACCGCCGCTATCCTTGGAGATAATTAAATGCAGGTTGACTAATACTTGTTCAGGGAGGCTTAAAGGGGATGTGAGTACTGGATACATATTAGAATCCAATGACCTTTTTTTTTGGAATCCTTAGGATATATGATTTTTTTTTTTGACATGGGATCTTACTCTGTTGCCCAGGCTGGCTTCACTGCAGCCTTGGACACCTGGGCTCAAGCAATTCTCCTGCTTCAGCCTCCTGAGCAGCCAGGACTACAGGTGCGCACCACCATGCCTGGATAATTTTTAAACTGTTTTGTAGAGACAGGGTCTTGCTATTTTGCTCAGCCTGGTCTTGAACTCCTGGGCTCAAGTGATCCTCTTGCCTTGGCCTCCCAAAGTGCTGGGATTACAGGTGTGAGCCACTGCACCCAGCCAGGATCTGTGATTTTTGCTATAGCCAGAGACATGCTTGGATGAGATATGTCCCAAGCCATGTTCTCATGGGCAGGTCACCATGGGTATTAAAAAAGAGTGTCAATGGATAAGGGCAAAGCCATCTCAATCACAGGAACAGTCTAAAGAAACAGTAAAGAAACAGATGTCCTATTCATAGTGACTCAGCGTCTCATCACACTAAGTCCTGGACAGCTTGGGTGTAGTTAAAAGCCATTTTCCTGGGTGGATCACCAGGCTGCTCAGCAGGGGGCAATACAGCACAGTTCAAGAAGGCTATAATGTCACCCGAACATCACAGACCAGTCAAGGTGATCTTAACCTGAGGGCAGAAGGATGCACTCAGAGATTGTGTCAGGTTCCTGTCTGTCTCGTAATTCCAAGGCACACTAACTCAGTGACCCAGAAAAAACAAGGATTTCCCATGAAACCAGGACTCTGAGCCAAAGCTGACCACCCACTGTCATCAACTCCCTTGGGAAGGGAAGCAACGTTCTCTGTCTCCCAATCCTACAAGCAGCAGGTCTGGCCTCTTGGCCTCAGAGCTTCTGCGTGTGCTCTCCAAATGCTCAGGGAGGAAACAGTCAGCCTGAACTTTGGATGTGGCTAATAGCATTCTCATGACTTTCTTGCTCGAGGCTTGCCCCATCACCCGTACCGATCAGGGCTGGAAGTTTGGAGTCTGGATAGCTGGCTTCCTGCAGACAGAGCTGAGAGGCTCAGCCACAGCCAGCAATTCATGGAGGTCACCAGGTCATTGTTCTCTTCTGTTTTCTTGTCCCCTGAAGCAGCATTTTGAGTAAACAGCTCTTTCCTCTCACAAACGAAGACATGAAAAATATTTTTGGGGTCCAGTTCGCTGCTTTCCTGGTCCTGTTTCCTGTGCTCTGTTCATACATTCCCTCTGATTTCTGTCCTTTTGGGGTGTATCATCATGACTACTAGGAATAGAGCAAATAGGCCACAACACTAATACTATTCCATTTCAGGAATGGTCTAAGTTACAGGAATCTTTTGTGTTTGGAAAGATACTGTGTTTTCTTTAAGGTATTTTCCTTGCAGCAATCAAGATTTTAAAAAATTCCACAAAGAAATATTTCCATTCTTGGTCATGCTTGAGATGATGCATCACTTAGAATTGGATGAACATAATTAAAACAAGCAGGAGATTCAAATACATGCAGGAATATCAAGACTTCTGAATGCCAGTGCTGGAATATAAAGTTGGCGTTTCTCATCAGCAATGCCTCTGTTCTGTTTTCCCAGCTTTATTGACTCCATCGATGGCTACACGCGTCTGCACAACCAACAGGCCGGCATGCAACTGCTAACTATACACAGATCCCCAGATTTTTGATGATGATGATTTCTTTAGGTAGGACAAACAAACATAAAATGCTTGGTGGAAAAAAATGTTCTTAGAATGTAAATAACATTTTGCATACCAGTCTGGCTGCTGCAATGATTAAAACTCATTCTGTTTTCTTGTTTATTCCAAGTTCATTGCTTAGAAACCACTGAACGTGGAGATGCAGAGTAAGTTATCTACTCTTTTAGCCTTCTCTTTGGGAGTCATTTATGTGATTCTTTTCCTTTTTTTTTTTTTTTAATTTAATGTGTGTTTCCAGAGGTGGAAAAATTTGGTATTGTTCATCCTCTGTCTCCCAGTTCATTGATCTGAACTCAATGGCAATGATTTCATTATTTTGAGCTTAAATTCCTTAGGGGCATCTTGGCTTCATTCAAGCAATCATTATTTCTTGCCCAAATGTGTAAGAGTTTTCATAACAGCCCACCTGAATATAAGTTGTTTTTCTCTTCATATTTTTAAGACTCTCTCTTTGATTTTGTCTTTCAATAGTTTGGCTATGATAGGTATACATGTGGATGTGTTTGTATTTATGCTACTTGGATTTGTTAAGCTTTTTGGAGCTGTAGATTAATGTTTTTAATCAAATTTATGAAGTTGGTTGCCATCAGTTCTTCAAATATTTTTTCCAGCCTCCTCTCTGACTTTTTTCTCCCTTTTTTCTTCTTGGACCCCCAATAAATGTATGCTGATACTTGATATTGTCACCCAAGTCTCTGGGCCGCTGAATATTTTTTTTTCGACCTCATTTCTCACTGTTCTTCAGATAGAATAATTTCTGTTATTCTATTTTTAAGACTATTGATTCTTCTGACATTTCAAATATTCTGCTAAAGCCCTTTATTAAATTTTTCGTTTCAGTTACACTTTTCAACTTCACAATTTCCATTTGGTTCTGTCTTATAATTGCTTAAATCTCTTCATTGAGATTTCCTATGCCCTGAGTCATTGTCATCATACTTCCCTTTAATTATTTTAAACATGATTTTCTTTAGTTCTTTAAGTATATTTATGACAGCTACTTTGAAATCTTTCCCTGCTAATTCCAATATCTTGGGGTGCTCAGAGATAGTTTCTCTTGACAGCCCTTTTTTTTTCCTGAGTGTAAGTCATGTCTTCTTGTTTCTTTGCAAGTCTCATTGAAGTTCTGACTTTTCTTCTTTCTGAGGGTTGTTGTGGTGGTGGTGTTTCTGGTTTTTCTTTAGTAACTTGCCTTGAAGGAATCTGTAAATTCTGTTCCCCCAGCATTGTGCAGACACTGCTTTTCTTGCTTTTATTTCCAAGTCTGGTTTTTGAGGAGTTGCTCCTTTGTTTGCACAGCTTACGGTCCAGCTGAAGATTCACCAGTGGTTGTGCTCCAACACCTCAAGCCTATAAGAAGCAAATTCAGGCCGGGTGCAGTGGCTCACGCCTATGGTCCCAGCACTTTGGGAGGCTGAGGCCGGTAGATCACTTGAGGTCAGGAGATTGAGACCAGCCTGGCCAACATGGTGAAATGCCGTCTCTACTAAAAATACAAAGATTAGCAGGGTGTGGTGGTGCACACCTGTAATCCCAGCTACTTGGAAGGCTGAAGCAGGAGAATCATTTGAACCTGGGCAGCAGAGGTTGCAGTGAGCTGAGATTGTGCCACTGCACTCCAGCCTGAGCGACAAAGTGAGAGTCTGTCTCAAAATAAATAAATAAGTAAATAAATAAATAAATAAATAAATATAAAAAAGCAAATTCAAACTTCAGGCTATTACATCTGCCTGGACTTTCATTCCTGCATGCTCTTTTATGTCTCCTCTGTGCACGGGAACAGGGTCTATATATTGGCTGGAGATGTGTGGATGGCTTAGGTTCTGGTCTCTGCTGTACGTTCAAATCACTTCTTGTCAACCTGGGATGTATGGAATGCTTGCCAAGTTTCCTAGGG